>NC_000006.12:16423636-16575151 GCF_000001405.40 Homo sapiens | reverse complement strand
ACGGTGAAGAATCCTGGCAGACATCACCTTAACTGAGTGATCAAGGTTAATGTCACCAGTGATACATATTGACATCGTGTGTCCCACTGAGAAGGGCGTGTCATCTCTGATATCCTCCCTGAAAAGGCATAATCTCACTCTAATCAAGAAAAAAATAGCAAACTCAAATGGAAGGACATTCGAAAAAATAACTGACCCCTCCCCTTAAAATTGTCAAGGTCTTTAAGGATAAGGAAGGATTCAGGAACTGTCACAGATTAGCAGAAACTAAGAAATATGACCACATAAAATTCTAAGTATGATCCTGAAACAGGAAAAAAAAAAAAAAAGCCTGTTTGGTGCAAAAACTGGTGAAATCCTAATACACCCTACGGTTTGTTGAGTAGTCGTGACCCAGGTTAACTTTCTAGTTTTGATCGTGGTTCTATGGCTTTGTAAGCTGTTAATATAGGGGGAAACTGGGTGGAAGGTACAAGGGAGCTCTGTACTATTTTTGCCGCTTTCTGTAAATCTAAAATTATCTTCAAAAAAACCTAGTTGACACTTAGGTAGGCCGAGGTGGGCAGATCACTTGAGGTCAGGAGATCGAGACCAGACTGGCCAACATGGTGAAACCCCATCTCTACTGAAAATACAAAAATTAGGCCGGGTGCGGTGGCTCATGCCTGTAATCCCAACACTTTGGGAGGCCGAGGCGGGCGGATCACCTGAGGTCGGGAGTTCGAGACCACCCTGAGCAACATGGAGAAACCCCGTTTCTACTAAAAATACAAATAAAATTAGCTGGGCATGGTGGCGCATGCCTGTAATCCCAGCTACTCAAGAGGCTGAGGCAGGAGAAGCACTTGAACCCCGGAGGCAGAGGTTGCAGTGAGCCGAGATCGCGCCACTGCATGCCAGCCTGGGCGACAGAGCGAGACTCCGTCTCAAATAAATAAATAAATAAATAATACAAAAATTAGCTAGGCATGGTGGTGTGTACCTGTAATCCCAGCTACTTGGGAGGCTGAGGCAAGAGAATTGCTTGAACCTGGAAGGCAGAGGTTGCAGTGAGCTGAGATCCGGCCACTGCACTCCAGCCTGGGTGACAGAGTGAGACTCCATCAAAAAACAAAACAAAACAAAAAATCTAGTTCAGGGCACAATACCAATCCACAGGAAGCAATTATAGAGCAATCCATGACAACAGACAACTGAGAATTTGTAATGGGGTGCCAGTGTCAGGTTCAGAAGAGGAATGAGAAATGGCTGGGGATTGGAGTCTTCAGGAAGAGCTTCCTATGAGAAGCAAAGCCTGACAGGGACCTTAACAGGATGTGTAGTGATGATGGGTGGAGGAAACTGAGGGGTCATTGTAGGCACAGTGGCAGCAGGGACAAAAGCATGAGGAAGGGACACAGATGGCCTGCATGGGATATGTTGGAGGGGCCAGCGGAGTTATATGTGCATTGCTGGAGATTGGTATGAAAGAGAATTTGACAGCTGTGGGGATAACAGAGCTAAAGGATCACTAAGACCTGGCGGAGGAATGTGAAGTTAATGCAGGAGGTGACACAGAGTTCCCAGTTCTTGTTTATGGAAGGGGCTCAGTGAGTTTGTGTGTATATATCTGAAACCGGTGACAATGTATGTAGGGTGGCCAGAGTTGGGAGAAACAGGGGACAGGCGAGTCAGGAATTAAAGATAGGTAATGGGAGCCTATTCGTTTGAGGGTGTTGGGAGGATGGCAGGAAAGGAAAAGGGGGCAACATATTCAAAGGTATTTGAAGGGATAAAATAATATAACTTAGTAATTGTTGGATTTGGAGAATGGAGAGGAAGGAGTCAAAGATGATTTCTGGGTCATATTTACTGGACAGGTACTATTGGTGTCCATAACTGAAATAATCCATTCAGCAGATATTTGCATGCCTACATCGAGGAATAATGTATTCTAGGTGAGGAAGGAGGATTAAAAAGAATGTCAACACAGCATCTGCTTACGCTGGAATGTGGGCCAGAAAGCCTGTGGCTTAGGCTAGACTGAATGAATGGCCAGGTCAGCCTACTTAAGGAGTCCCTGCCCTCCACATAAAAAGAAGGGAAAGATTGCCCTACTCTGTTCCTAGCAGTAGCCATGAACAGTGTTAGAAGATCTTTCAAACTGACACTTCTGTCCTCTTGATAAAAATGTCAGGTCTACTGTTGGACCATACTCATAAAAACTCTGTTAAATCACCATTCTACTTAGGAAAAGGCCATTCATGCCCCACTTAACTCTGCCAAGATAGAGGATGCTGTGTTCCCAAGGTACCAAAACTGAAAGTTAAAATGCCATAAAAGTATACTGAACTTTATAGAAGAAAAAACAGAAAAAGTGTATGCATGCTTAAACCTCAAACTCTTGATCTTCAGGTACCATGTCTTTTCAACGTAGATAATATCACCTAGTGAGCACACCCTGAAGTCATGCTCTGGCTGGCTTTGCTGTGTTCTTTTTGTTTTCTCTTGGGCTTGTGTCTCACTCTGTGTTGGGTAGGAAAGGGTTTCTGTAGCCTTTATACCCTTGTTTTCATCACTTATTTCACGAATTTCCACTTATTACTCAAGAATAACCATATTTTTTTATCTCTATGACAAGCTGAAAACCTCCCTGTCAGCAATTATAGCCTGTTAGCCCTCACAGAGTCAGTCTTGGGGAGGTATGGCCTTGCGGTTCAGGGGCAGAACCGTAGGTGTATTCACCTGTGGAAGACTTAGACATACACATTTGATTATGGGTGGCAGTAATCAGATTTATGTTTTGAAGGTCTTCGAAGATCTCCGTCCCTTTCTCAGTCAACATTATACATCATTGTTTCTTAACAGTTGAGTCCTTATACCTTTTTTGGTATCAGTCGGTCATTAGGCCAAGTAAACATTTTATTGACAATAGGCAACTGAGGAGAAAATTAACCCTTTTTATAGTTAATTGTAAGTGGAAGTTGCTTGATATTCTTAAAAATATGAAATTGTGGAAGTTCTGGTTCTAGTCTGAGAATTGAGCATTGAGCATCACCTTTACAACATGTAGACTTAAACTTCAAATACCTTTATGATGCTGAGAACTCCCCATGGAATAGGAACCGGCCATGGCATATCTAAAACATGACTTACATAGCATTGCACGATATAATATGAATGCATGTTTTTTTGTAGAATTTAGAAAGAGGCTGAACGTGATGGCTCACCCCTGCAATCCCAGCACTTTGGGGGGCTGAGGTGGAAGGATCACTTGAAGCCACGAGTTTGAGACCAGCCTGGACAGCGTAGTGAGACCCTATCTCTACAAAAAAAATTTAAAACTTAGCTGAGCATGGTGGCATGAGCCTGTAGTCCTAGCTACTTGGGAGGCTTATGTAGGAGGATCACTTGAGTCTAGGAGTTTGAGGCTGCAGTGAGCTGTGATCGCACCACTACACTCCAGCCTGGGTGACAGAACAAGTCTTTGTCTCTTTAAGTTTTTTTTTTTTAATTAGCTGAGTGTAATGTTGTGAGTCTGTAGTCCTAGCTGCTCAGGAGGCTGAGGTGGGAGGATTGCTTGAGCCCAGGAGTTCAAGGTTACAGTGAGCTATGATTGCACCACTGCACACCAGTCTGGGTGGCAAAGTGAGACCCTGTCTCTAGAAAA
Source organism: Homo sapiens (assembly GCF_000001405.40). Taxonomy (NCBI): domain Eukaryota; kingdom Metazoa; phylum Chordata; class Mammalia; order Primates; family Hominidae; genus Homo; species Homo sapiens. Next base: position 16,571,502 of record NC_000006.12, on the reverse strand, counting down.
ATAAAATAAAAGAAAATAATGTATAAAAGAATGACATCTTTTGTAGAGCGGACATTGGAAATGGCAGAATACTCCATGAAGTAGCCTCTAGATTCCCTTTATGGGCTTGCTGTGGAAGCACATATGTTCACATTGGCAGAATAAAGACTCTTTTTATGTCCTTTTAAACTAATGTATTGACTTCAGTATTTTTTTTATAGGGAACATATTTCAAAATTGTAATGGTAGTCAATGGTTCTATGTAAAAATACTTTGTCTTTCCACAGACCCATATATACCAGCCAGGTCACCTTCATTCTCAGAGTGCCTGATGAGTAGAGTGCATTCAATACAATAGCTGTCTTGTTTTTTTAGCAGCAGAAGTGGGAGTCACATGCTGAACTCGGGAACCATTTTGAATTTATTCTCATAGCAATTGCAAGGTAAAGGCAGGCAGAATCCTTGCTGTGTAACCCTCAACAGAGCTCCATAAGGATTGGGAAATCAGGCCATGCTTTGTCAAAGAGAGGGTGCACACAGGCATCAAACAGGTCACTTCTCTTAATTCTTAGGCCACCACACAGGAAGCACATAATTATTTAATCCCTGGATCTTTCTAGAGATGCAACAAAGTGATGAGGGTGGACAGCTCCAGAAAATCGCTGTGCAAGGAGCAAGGGTAGAAAGCTAGGGTTTTGGATTAGACAGACTCCATTTCAAATTACATCTTAACTTAGTTTTTATTGTACCCTCTAACAACTTATGAATAAAATAAGGGGAATATATAGAGAGTTAGGCGTGGGGAATGGTTACAACTTATTTCTCTTCTTCACTTTCATCTGTCTTTCTTCAGTCTCTTCTCCCCTCTTCCATTAAAGGTAAACTGAATAAATGAATAGTGAATGAATGAAGTGAGCAAGCTGTTTTCAACAAAGTTCACTTGGTGCCACTTCCATGGATTTAGTTATAAAAGTGATATGATCCTAGTTATCTTAGGCAGAATACATATTTCTGTGACCCTAATCTACGTGGGTCCTACTTGAAACCTGGAAATGATAGGAAAAACCTTCTTGGGAAGGAGAAAAATGACCAATAAAAAAATTCTGAATTATACTTATAGATGAAGCCCTGGTGAACCCAGAGCCCTGTTGACTCACAAGGACACTCAAAGTAAGATTAGTGATTCAACACATTCACTTCTTCAGTTTCCCAAATAGATTAGAAGGAATAAGAGGGCTTTCTTGGGTTAAACTTACTAACCACAGTGAAGGAAGGAGAAAACCTATAAAAACTTGAAGTATTATAAAATCTCAGCGGTGTGAGGCCATTTCGTTTGAGGACAAACAAACCTAGTGGATTGTCCAGGGCAGGTGAATGTAAAGGACATTTCCTGAGATGCAACAAAGAGATGATGGTACAATGGGCAAGGATGTTGCAATAACAAGCAACCCCAACTCTTCAGGGTGGAACACAGTAGAAGTTCCTTTTTGATGGTGTTACGGATAACTTGGGGTGTTCTGCAGTTGGAGAGGGCGTCTGTATGGTGGTGATTCCCTGACCCAGGGTCCTTGTATCGCAAGGCTCAGACATTCCCTCAGTGTTGGGAGACCCTAAGGATCTTCTGCACCTGGCAGAAGAGAGAAGTGGGGAAGCGAGAGAGTGAGCAGTCTCCTGGGAGGTTTGTTGGTGAAATTGGCATATACCACTTCCTTCCATGTTCCCTTGACCAGAATTTAGTCATGTGGACATAGTCAACTGCAGGTAAAGTGGAGAATTGTCAGCCTGTATGTCAAGGAGTACAGGGAAACTGTTTTTTCAACAACTAACCAGTTTCTGCCACAACTGGATACCTTCCTGACGTCATCTTTACTCCCATCCCAGCCCCACCCGAGATTTGGCCATGAGTACCCTGTAATTTGCAGGGCATTATATCTCTGTCTCAGGAACAGCAGGAGACCACTGAGTCAATCGGAACTGTTTTTTTTTTTTTTTTTTCTGAGACGGAGTCTCACTCTGTCGCCCAGGCTGGAGTGCAGTGGTGTGAGCTTGGCTCACTACAGCCTCCACCTCCTGGGTTCAAGCGATTCTCCTGTCTTAGCCTCCCCAGTAGCTAGGATTACAAGGCTCACACCACCATGCCCAGCTAAATTTTTTATTTTTTATTTTTAGCAGAGACGAGGTTTCACCATGTTGGTCAGGCTGGTCTCGAACTCCTGACCTCAGGTGATCCGCCCACCTTGGCCTCCCAAAGTGCTGGGATTACAGGCGTGAGCCACCACCACGCCAGGCCAGGACTCTTCATCTTTTAAACCACCCGGGTCTGAACTGACAGTCCCTTATGTTATCTTCATGGGAAGAAGAGCAGGCAGTCATGTGTGGCTCCCCATGAAAAGGCAAGGAACCTTCTAGATACTGCCGCTAGAAACCAGGTGTGGGATAGAAGCCCTGCCTTTGATCTATACCTGTTGGTCAGGAACCTGCTTCTACTTTACTTCATTCATCTGCACTTCTTAGGAGCTGGGTCCTGTTCTTGTTTACCATTACTAAATTACGGGGAAATTCCTGAAATTATCCAGTCCTCCCAGATGGTTCATTCTTTGTGTGTATACCCAGAGCTTGGTCATGTCCCCATTCCTCTCTCTCAAGATTAGATCTGCTGTCAAAACCTAGAAACAAGTCTTTACTGAACTGAACTCTTTATTAGCCTTTGATTGCCAGATAACTGGACTTGGGAAGGGGAGTTTGGGAAAAAGGGTTAACTATATTAAATTTTTTTGGTGCTCTCTTATATGGGCTGGGATGAAGCATTTAGACAGTGGGAGAAGTATAGGAGAGGCAGACAGATGCCAGAAAAAAAAAACTTTGGTTGTTTCCAGGTACCGAAAAAGAAAGTTCATTTGTAAGTCACCCACCTCCTCATGATTTCTTCACCTCCTGTCCCCTGCTCATGGTACTAGAGTTTGTCTATATTATAAGCTCTATAGCTCTTTTTGCCTTCCTGCAAAACTAAGCACTATTTATAACACTGTTTCTCTGAGAAAATGTGTTTGGAGTTTCAAATAAATGACTTACAAATGAACTTTCTGTATACAACTCATTCATACATTGAGAACTGCCTGTACCGGGCATGTAACCTGGAGATAACTTTTATCTCTGCTTTATCAATATGGGCTTGTCAGGTTGACTTATGTGTACTTCTCTCTGCCTTCGTTTTGATGATAGCCTCTCTCTTAAAATTTAATACTCTCTTTATGTTTGGAGAAACATTCCCTTTGGCAGCGTTTCAAATATTCTTGCGAATTGGAATAGTGATTTTATTTTATCTCCCAATGTATCTTTAATAGGATTCATGGCTATGAAAATCTTTTGCACAGTCCGCCTATAAATTGTAGAAAAATTGAGAACTATTTAAAAGAAGGGGGCGCAGAAATAATCCTTTTCTAGTATTACTCTGGGTTGTCAGATATCTTTGCAATATAATTACTGTGTTGGTTTTTAAAGGTTAAAAGAGCTCTGACGTTTATAATTCTCTTTTGTGTGTGTGTTCTACACATATAAGGGGAAAATCTAACACATGGAAGGAAAATACTTTAGTTAACATAAAGGTCCTGAGCATTTTATGGTTTTTCAATACAGAGACATAATTCATGGATTTTATATTTGCTTTTACAGATATCTGGTGAATCAGTTATTTGCTCTGTGGAACCAATTTGCAGTTTACACACCTTGTTTATTTCTAAGCTGTGTGCATGGGTAATGTGTGCACAAAAATACTCTTGCTGACATTAGATTGTAAAGTAAAAAGGCGGAACACTGGTCCTGGAGATATGCCTTCTCAGGGAACTTACTATCCATATACAAGTAAAAATTTCTCATTGTTAGCAGAGCAGCTGACAGAATATGATCACAAATGTTGCTGATGCTGTTCTGTTAGGAGGTAGAAATAGAATGCCTAGGACTATGCAAGCTTGTCAGAGTTAGATTGTCAGGGTGATGTGCTTCCATATTAAAAAGAATACTTTGTTCCCCCCTCACACATGCACCCTTGCAGTGGAAAGAAACATTTATTTCAGAATAAGCGCAAGTTATTCTGACTTGCACTCACAGGCTCAGACTTTGATGCCAGTGTAGTTAAAATTTAGTGAATACCAGTCATGTTTAATGGTCTTTCCCTTCTGTTTAAAACAGTACTGCAGCCCATGCAAGAAACATTTCCCTTTAATTTTATGCATTTTGTGGTATCTTTTGATGGTTTTTCTCTACTGTCAAAACTGTGAGAATAATTTCAATGGCATGTTTTTTCTGCCATCTTCAGTTGGCAGTCATATCCCCCCAGATTGTCCTCATAGATTCCAGATCACCTTTATGTTTAATCTTCATTAATTGACAAGTACCTTTGAAAGGGTTTTGCAAAAATTGAACTGCAAAGCTGTGATTTAATACAAGGAAGGCTACATCAGTGTGAAAGAAAGCACTTTATGAACTGTAGAGTACTATTTAAAGGTGAGGCATTATAATTAAATATGCTCAGGTTGTTACTGAGCATTGAATGCCAAAGCATATGAAAGACAACTTACGATGCCAGGAGTTTGAGACTAGCCTAGGCAACACAGTGAGGACCCACCTCTACAAAATGTTTTTGTTGTTGTTGTTGTTGTTGTTGTTTTTGAGACGGAGTCTCACTCTGTTGCCCAGGCTGGAGTGCAGTGGTGTGATCTCGGCTCACTGCAACCTTTGCCTCCCAGATTCAAGCGATTCTCCTGCCTCAGCCTCCCGAGTAGCTGAGATTACAGGAACCCACCACCATGCCCGGCTAATTTTTTTTTGTATTTTTAGTAGAGACGGGGTTTCACAGTGTTCGCCAGGATGGTCTTGATCTCCTGACCTCGTGATCCGCCCGCCGTGGCCTCCCAAAGTGCTGGGATTACAGTCGTGAGCCACCGCGCCCAGCCTGTTTGTTTGTTTGTTTGTTTGTTTTTTAATTGGCCAGGCATGGTGAGATGTGCTTATAGTCCAGCTACTCTGGAGGCTGAGGCGGGAGGATCGCTTGAGCCCAGGAGTTTGAGATTACAGCAATGTTATGAGAGTAGCTAGAAGTTACACCAATGCTGCAGGAGTTTGGGGGAATCCAGAGTTGTAAAATGCCAACAAAAATTATTAATTAAGGGGATCTCTTAGCCGTCTCTTTGACCCTACAAAAAACATGGTGGTACTGAGTTTTTTAGCCTCACCCAAGCAAAAACAGAATAGGGCATTGTATTTCTTATATCTGGATGCAAAAACATGAAATGTTAATTGTAGATTATAAGTCATTAAGTGTCACGGATTTATGTTTTATGACAAGTTGGAGTTTACAGATTTCTAGGCTATTTTTTTCACATAGAGATACATGAAAGCTTTATTCTTGTTATTCAACGTAAATCTTTTATAATCTGCTCTCAATTTCCAGTATCCTGAAAAATCCTTTTTCTCTCTTTTTTGAGACCCTTCCCTCCCCCTACCATCCAGAGTCATGCAGTTAACAGTTCTGATAGTGCTTGGATTCATTTGTAGATTGTACATACCAAATGGAGCTGGCACCTCTTCATGGAAATTGGACCCAGTGGGCTATTTTACACTTGCCGGATGTGCTTTCCTCAGTAGAAGTTTATATTTTATAGCTGATACTCCATTGACCATAGTAACCTGTTATAAAACATGATGTTTTATCATTTGTTCTGTGTCTTCAGGGCTGAACATTTTATGGAGAGACTTTATTAACATTTAAAGAGACTTTATTAACCCTAGATATTAACATGGTTTACCTGGAAATTTTTTGAGCAATGTTTTCATTTGATTCCTGGAATGTTCAAATAGCAAAGGCAGTTTCTGTTGGTGTGCATGTGTGTGTTTGTGGTTAAAAGCCAGCATTACCCAGAGACCTTCTGGTTCATGTGGAAATTATTATTATTACTATGATTATTGTTATTTTTGCAAATGAATAAATTGTCATTCTGATTTTTTTAACCTCAACGTTCCTTTAAAAACACTGTTGATTTTTATGGAGAAGGTTGATTTCCTGGAAGTAATAATATGATGTTAGAGATTACTTTTTAGGCAATATTTTGGCATGTTTATCAGATAAATCAAACATCAAATAAATAGATTATGGGGAATGATTTTTCAGTAATCTCTTTTTGCAGTTTCTTCCCTAAACAAAATGATGTGGCCTATTAGGTGGATTGGTTTGGAGGACAATTGCTTACAGGGACCCTGTCCTTATGGTGTGGAGAAGCAGAAAAAACTCACAGTACTCCAGAGTAGCCCCCTTATTCTTTTTCATAAACTTCAAACTAGGTATGAAAGACCTGTCCACTTTAAAGCTTTCGCCTGTGAAGATAAAGCAGAGATTGATTTTTAACCACTATGCTCATATGGGGAAACAGAATGCAGGAGCTAAGATTTAAAGAAGCAGATGGGAAGAAGAGAAATAACCTCCTCTGGCATCCACCTGGAAATGTCTCCTGAGAAAGAGGATGGACATCTTCTGATATTCATAAGTCAAGGAACTGCTTGAATTCTGTATTCCGTGTACAGTATTCTACCTATCAAGACCCTCACCCAGGGAAGAAAGTCTTGTTTATTCAGGAGATGGGGAGCAGGAGGCATTGAGGACTGCATAGCTTATTTAAATTAAAAAAAAAAGTGCAATGAATTGCTTTTTAGTGTATTTACAGAGCTGTGCAGCTATCACCACAATAAATTTTAGAACATTTTCATCACCCCTAAAGGAAATCCCATACCCATCAGCAATCACTTCCCATTTTCCCCCAATCCTCTACCCTCAGCTCCTGGCAACCACGAAGCTGTTTCTCTATATATAGATTTGCTTGTTCTAGACATTCCATATAAATAGAATCATGCAATATGCGGACTTCTGTGACTGACTTCTTTCACTTAGCATAATGCTTTCAAGGATCATCCACATTTCAGCATACATCAGTCATTCATTTCTTGTTATGATGGAATAATGTAACATTGTATGGCTATACCTTATTTTGTTTATTCATTTATCAGTTGATGGACATTTGGGTTGTCTCCACTCTTTCACTATTATGAACAGTGCTGCTATGAACATTCCTTTCCAAGTTTTTGTGTAGACATAGTTTCATTTCTCTGTGCAGCCTACTTTTAGGTAGTTACAAATTAAGATTGTAAGTGATTTTTTTTTCATTTTACACATTTGTTCGCTTCACGATGGCCTCCTCTCTCTTCTTACCTATCTCACTCTCCCAAAAATGATTTTTCTTGAGAACATAGTTGTAGAAGGGTAAGAATATCAACCAACTTTTGCTAAGTATGAATGCCCAGGCGCTCTGCTAAGCATCATGTATGTGTTACAATGTTTCTCACTTTATAGACGGGGGCTGAGGTTTAGAGAGGCTGCTAAGCCTGGAGGTCATTCAGCTGAAAAGGTAGAAGAGCTGGGATTTGGACCCACATCCTGTTTACTCAGCAAGGTCCATGCTGTCTGTTGACTCCCTCATGATATGATCCCAGATCATACACCTGTTGAAATCTTAGAGAATTCTCTTTCTATTCGTGAGCTTCTCCCAATTGTATCCTAAAAAGTAAGGAATATAAATCAGATGCTCCGTCCTAAGCCCTTGGACCTGGAGCGGGCATTTGTGTTCCCCGTTGACAAAAAGATGATGAAATACTTCCTCTGTGTCTGAGTGCAGCGGCGTCATGGACCGGTGTTAAGTTTAACCTGACCCTTCTCTCTGCCCTGCAGTTGCTTCATCTCCTCACCTTAAGACTTCACCTTTCCTTCATTTCAGCTTCCCAGAGATACTGCCACACCCCGGACCTGTGTATCAACTTGAACCCTCACACCCCCCAACTTGGACCTTTCTAAATCTTAAAATCTCAGACTCTGTAGTTCTCTCTGGGCATAGCCTCCTGACCCCCTTGCTTTCCCTCTCTTCCTCAGAACTCAGTTGTCTCCTTATTGTGAGCCCTGACTCATCCCCCACTCTTGGTCACTATAGCCACTTTCTTCAGGCTCCGTATTCCTGCCCCCTAACCAGCCTAGACCTCATGGCTTGAAAGTTTAACTGTGCATGCCCAATAGCTTAGTGCCATGCATTCCTTTCCAGGCACCAATCCTGCATGATCCCCATCACCTGCACAGCTGCTTAGAGGCCCCCAAACCCAACTGATGGGTCCTGATGTAAATTCTTACTGTTAATCTGAGGAGAGTCATCATTGCTTTTCTAGTGGGCTCATAGTCACATTTCTTATGGGATCTATTCCAAACTTTTCCAGTCTCTTCAAAACTTACCCTCACCCTCACTTTGGTAGAGGACCATTTATTCATCTTGCTTTTTTAAAATCTTGAAGAATCCAGGCATGAATCCTTCTACTCTCTTTTTCCCTTTAATTCTGTCCGTTGCTCCTGTCTCACAGTTGCAGACAAGTGTTGCATGCTGTGCTCACGCATCCCAGAGGAGCAAGAAGACCTCCCACTCCGCAAGGCTCCAAGACCCCTCGTTTTCTGGATCCCTCTCTACCCTGACTTCTCTGAGGCTTTGTCACCTAGGTTATCTCCCTCTCCTGCTTGATCTTTCATTATCTTCATCTTAACCAAAACCTTCTCTTCAGTCTATGAATGTGCCTAGTGGTGTGGCCTGTCTTTTAAAAACTAAAGGAGCCCTTATTTTGACCTTGTTCTCCTCAGGCAATTTCCATTTCTCTATTCTTTCTTTAACCTCAACATGTTTTGAAAACATAGTCTGTGTTCTATTCATCCAGATTATTACCACCCACTGAAGTCTTAGTCACCAGTTCTTCTCTGTCATCCAAGCACTGGAAACTTCTCGGCCCAATGTCTTCACTGGCCTAAGATGGACTCAAACTAGTAAGCTTTTATTCAGTGGTTACTCCTAGACCTCTGGGCTGTATTTCCTACGGTGGCTGCTGCCAGCCATTTCATTTCTTTTCTTTTCTTTTTCTTTTGTTTCTTTTCTTTTCTTTTTCCTTTCCTTTCCTTTCCTTTCCTCTCCTCTCCTCTCCTCTCCTCTCCTCTCCTTTTCTTTCTTTTCTTTTCTTCTCCTTCCCCTTCCCCATTCCCCTTCTTTCTTCTTTCTTCTTCTTCTTTTTTTTTTTTTTTGAGACAAGATCTAGCTCTGTTGCCCAGGCTGGAGTACAGTGGGGTGATCTTGGCTCACTGCAACCTCTGCCTCCCGGGCTCAAGTGATCTTCCCATCTCAGCCTCCCAAATAGCTGGGACTACAGGTGCAGGCCACCACACCTGGCTAATTTTTGTATTTTTTGTAGAGGCAGGGTTTTGCTGTGTTGCCCAGGCTGGTCTCCAACTCTGAGCTCAAGCAATCCGCCTGCCTCGGCCTCCCAAAGTGCTGGGATTACAGGTGTGAGCCACTGCATCAGCCTATTTGTTTCTGAAAACACTCTTTATCTGCCTTTATTTTCTCTTACCCTCTACTGCTCTGATCATTTCTTCTTTATGTCTTCCTTCTTTTGTCCCTTTTCGTACTTATTCTTAAAAGTAGATTCTGCCTAAGTGTGTATAACCACTTTTCTTCCTTGTTTACATCTTCCAGGTCCTGAGGGAGTGTTGTGACTTGGTTACAGCCTACCTTCCTAACCTTACTCATTGCAGCCCAGGCTTCCCCATAATTATATACATGTTCCTCTCACACCTCAAGCTCCCTTGGTTTTCTGCTTCTGTTGCATCTCTGGTTTCTTTCACCTAGGATCATCCTCCTGCCTCCCCTCTCTGCATTTCTATATATTCTTTTCCAGGACCACATCAAATTCTGTGTTCTCCTTATGACATAATCTCAAATGACCCCAGGAAGTTATCTTTTTTTTGGTCCACATTTTTAATGGGACCTTTCTTACTTTTACTTGGTTTTCAAATTATTTGTTGAAACACATTTCTTTTAAACTATGTACTCATGAGACAGTATATTGAGAATTTAACCCCTGTCCTTAAACACAGTAAATATTGTGTCAATGTTTGCTAAATGAAAGGAGTGAAAAGTATGGCTCTATGGGAACTTGTTGGTGAATGTCCCATTTTTATTTACCAATGAAGAAAAGCAAAACTTAGCAAAATGTATCTGTGGAGAGGTGGGTGGGAGAGGGTTGTTGTATAGTCTGAACCAAAATAATTAACTCCTGTAATTGCAAAAATATTATCATTGCTCAGTGCACCATTTTGCAGTTAATCAGATAGTTTTAGGGAAATATTAAATGATTCTCAAGCTTGGAAAATAGCAATGAGTGTTATGGCATCACTATACAGCCCAGAATGAACTCATGGATCCTCCAATCTCTTGTATCAGATATACTGCATACTGGATACCCAAGGCATCAGGGATTCAGAGAAATTTTTCCGAAGGTCATCTGGGTAGGAAGCCTGACTTTTATAGAATATTTCATAAAATTCTTTTTATTTTATTTTTCAATAGTTTCTCTACATTGTATACAAAGCACACTAATTACTCACTCCCATTGTCTCCACTAATTACATCACTCCCATTTTGTTCTCCTATGAACAAAGAAGAAAGGAACAAGAGGTTGTTTTTTCATTTTGAAGAGGCAAGGTTGATATGTTTGACTAAAATAAAGTTGGGATTACCTGTGAATTTCAGCCAGCTTTGCCCTCCGGTCCATCAGGTGGACAGTGGAAAATTGACTGTGATGCTAAAAATGGTCATAATTGGGGGAAAGTAAGCTTTACCACCTCTTTTGTGATGCTGAATGTGTCTTCAAGGGAATCAAAAAAGTTGTGCTTGACAGGCAAGGTGAAAAACCCAGGGATTTGCTACAAGAATCTCTGCAGGAGTGGTAGAATGAGAAGCTTCATTGGAGTCTGGGACATTTTAGTGTTGCTGGCCCATTACCCTGAACACTCTTCTAACCTCCTCCAAGACGGGTGTCTGAGAGGAGCTGGGCCCTGCAGACCAATTCTAGTCTTCTCTCTCCACCCCTGCCCCCTTTAGAACAAGCATATTAAAGGAATGTCTGATGAGCTCACTATAGTCTTTGTCAGGACATTTTATTTTTTATTTTTTTATTTTTATTTTTGAGGTGGAGTTTCGCTCTTGCTATCCAAACTGGAGTGCAATGGTGTGATCTCGGTGCACTGCAACCTCCGCCTCCCCGTTTAAACGATTCTCCTGCCTCAGCCTCCCGAGTAGCTGGGATTACAAGCACCTGCCACCATGCCCAGCAAATTTTTGTATTTTTAGTAGAGACGGGGTTTCACCATGTTGGCCAGGCTGGTCTCCAGCTCCTGTCAGGACATTTTTACAGCTGTTTTCGTTCTAACCCTAACTGATGACCATTGGAAGACCTAAAAATTCAGCTACGCAGAATAAGTAAAATTGGTCTTTTTCTTTGCATCCTGAGGATAAATCTAAACAAACCCCTCTCGTTGGCATATCTCCAGCTACAACAGAGGGCAAATTTGAATGGATTATGAAGATTGAATTATCCACTTGGTCTTGGAGGTGGTCCCGTCTCCTGTGATGGTGGGGTGGGGAGGCGGTGCAGACATGTGTACAGGAAGCTTAGCCAAATGCCTCTATTTGGGAAAAGTTGAAATCAGTTTCCTGGGCAGTCAATTTTGAGGGTTTAAAAAACTTTATTTTTTTTTTATTAAACATACTAAAAATAACAAAGCTATCCAAAATTAGACCACGTACTTTGCTCCTTTTATATTTCAGTGTCCTTGGTATGCTTGGTTTCTTTTCTTTCTTTTTGAAGCATTAATATTGTTTTGAATTGCTAGATATACAGAAGGTACGATAGATGTACAAGGAAAAATAAGCATCTCTCTTATTTCTGTGTCTAAGTCACTTGAATTCTCACCTAGAAGCAAGTACCATTATCATTTTCTTGTGAGTCCTTTTAAGGATATTTTATGATTATATAAGCAAAAATATAGGTTTTTTAAAACAATGTTTACACCCCATACACTATTCTGCCCTTTACCTCTTTTCACCTAACAGTGTGTCCTGGAAAACCTTTCTTATCGGAACATAGAACAGCCTTATTCTTTTTTAGTATCTAAATAGTATTCGATTGTATGATTTTGCCATAAAGTATTCAGTCCCACATTGATGGACTTTTTTTTTTTTTTTGGTTGTTTCCAGTCACTTGCTACTATGAACAATGCTTCAGTGAACAACTCTCTATAAATAGCATGTTGTATGTCAGCAAGGATCTCTGGAGGAGAAATTACTAAAGGGGAATTGTTGGATCAAAAGGAATATGCAGTTTTAATTTTGGTAAACCTTGCCAAATTGCCCTCCAATTTGGCATTCGTCCTATTGTATGTTCCTGCTAGCACTGTTTGAGTGTGCTTTTCTCCACAGACGATGTTTTTAAACTTCACGATCTTTGCCAATCTGAGAGGTGAAAACTACTATATTCTAGTAGCTTTAATATGGGTTTCTGTTATTATAGTGGTGGTTGAATATACTTTCATATGTTTAAAAGCCGTTCCTATTTTCTTTTCTGGGAAATGTATATTCATCCTCGTTGCCCATTTTTCTACTACGTTTTTGGTTTATCCTGTGAATTGACTTTTTTTTTTAGGAGCATGTAACAGCTAAAAAGATTAGTCCTTTTGTCTTATGCTATTTTAGTTTAAATTTTTCCGTTTGTCTTTTGACTTTATGTTTTCTTCATGCAGGGTTTTAAAAAATTAAAGTCATCTTATTTATCAGATTTTTATTTTTTGGCTTTTAATTTTTTTACATACTTAGGTCTCTTCTACGCAGTAATTATAATTTTTAAATTGTCTCGTATTTTTTATTAGTATTTTAAAAATAATAGTTTTGGCCAGGCACAATGGTTCATGCCTGTAATCCCAGCACTTTGGGAGGCCAAGGCGAGAGCATCACTTGAGGCCAGGAGTTAGAGACCAGTCTGGACAACACAGGGAGACCCTGTTTTTACATAATAATAATAATAAATAGCCAAACATGGTGGCGCACGCCTGTTTGTACTCGGGAGGCTGAGGTGGAAGGATTGTTTGAGCCCAGGAGTTTGAGACTGCAGTGAGTTATGGTCGTGCTACTACACTCCAGCCTGGGTGACAGAGTGAGACCCTGTCTCTAAAAGAAAATAAAAATTAAAAAGGTTTTATTGAGATATGATTCATATATCGTAAAACTTACCTTTTTTTTTTCTTTTTTTTTTTTTTTTTTGACACAGGATCTCGCTCTGTCACCCAGGCTGGAGTGCAGTGGTGCAGTCACAGCTTACTGCAACCTGGAACTCCTGGGCTCAAGCAGCCTCCTGCCTTAGCCTTCTAAAGTGCTAGGATTACAGGTGTGAGCCACTGTGCCCAGCCACAATGCAGTCTTTTAATAAATGGGTTTTTAATCTATTCATAGAATTATACAATCATCATCAAAACCTAATTTTACATTTTCATTACTCCAAAAAGAAAACCTTTACCCATTAAGCACCCACTCCCCCATTTCCTCTACCTTCTGGCCCCTGGTATCCACTTAATCTATGTTTTATCTCTATGGATTTGCCTGTCCTAGACATCTCATATAAATGGAACCATATAATGTGTGGCCTTACACAACTGACTTTTCCACTTAGCGTAATGTTTTCAAGGTTCTTTCTCATATTTTTATGCTTTCATTTTTTACGTTCAAATCTTTGGTCACCTTGGGATTTATTTTAGTGCAGGATGTGAATTAGGGATCTATATTTTTTTAGGTGGCCGTCCAATTATTGGAAGTCCTTCCTCCCACTAAAGTGCAGTGACACCCATATCATTCACTGAAGTCCAGTATTCATTTGGATCGACCTCTTTTCTGTTGACCTTGCTAAGTATTCCTGTGCCCATGCACACTGTTTTACTTTCTAAGGCTTTATAATATTTTTAATATCGGTATGGTATTCTTTTCTTATTTCTTTTTATATCATTGTTATGGCCATTCTTTCCTGTTTATTTTTCCATAGGAACTTCAGAATTAGCTTTCTAATTTGTATTTTTGACATCATATAAGTTTATAGATAAATATAGAAAGAATTATTCTCTTGATATTGACTTTCTATTCAAGAAGAAGATAGACCTTTGCAGTTGTTCCTATCTCCTCCTCTGTCCCTCAGTAGTATTTAACATTCTTCTTTATGTAGATTTGTTTTTTTTTTTTTTTTTTTTGAAATGGGGTTTCACTCTGTTTCCCAGGCTAAAGTGCAGTGGCACAATCTTGGCTCACTGAAACCTCTGGCTCCCAGGTTCAAGCGATTCTTGTGCCTTAGCCTCCCCAGTAACTGGGACTACAGGTGTCTGCCACCACACCTGGCTAATTTTTTTGTATTTTTAGTAGAGACGGCGTTTTACCATGTTTGGTTAGGCTGGTCTCGAACTCCTGACCTCAAGTGATCTGCCCACCTCGCCCTCCCAAAGTGCTGGAATAATAGGCCTGAGCCACTGCACCCAGCCCTCTTTATGTAGATCTTGCATATAGTCCTCCTTCAGTTTATCCCTAGGCATTTTATATTTTTGTTGTTATTTAAATATGGGATACCTTTTTACTGGTTGTCCTTTAGAAAGGTTATTGATTTTTGTATATTCTTTTGTTTCAGTTACCCTACAGAATTCTCTAATTAATAAGTTGTTCAATTGACTTGCTCAGATCATAGCATTTATAAATAATAATTTTTCTGCCTGTTATAATTTTTATATCCCTTATTTATTTCTCTTATGCAGTTAAATTGGCTAAGTTTAACAGATCAGTGTTAAATAACAGAGATGATGGTAGACATCCTCATGTTGTTCCTATTTTTAATGGGATGCTTCTCATGTTCCCCCATTAACAGTGAGCCTGCCTTTGGGGTGGAGCCTGTTTATTGTCCATTTGGCGTTTGTAGGGCTTTTATAATGAGTAGAAAACGTTTTGGAAATGCTGAATCTGACGGAATTATTTGCAGAAAGGTAAAGTATGCTGTGTTAGTTCTCCCGCAGTGATAAAATAGTAGTCTGATTTTTCTTACCAGCATTGACAGGAGTTTATGAGTGGGAAGTCTGTGCTATAAAGGAAGAAGGCAGCAATTGTATTTTAATCTCATGCTATTTTTCTTTTGCCAACGAAGTAAAAAGACTAAGAAGCTATAGGAATATGTAGTAAAGGCTTTTGCTAAGAGAGAAAAGGAAGAAAGGTGGAAGAATGGGATGGAAGAAACGAGATAAAAGTATACCTCATTTTCCTCAGCGTCCCCCCAGATCAAGTCACCTGATAAACCAAATATTACTAGGGTAGTTTTTTTCCCCAAAATATTATTACCAAAAAATGACACAAAACACTAATTGTCAACCAAAATGATAAAGAGTCTCCGAAAAGGCTTGCAAGAAAATAGTGAAATATTTTATCATTTGTAAGCAAAAGATAATAATACAGAGTTCCAAATACTGAGAAACCACAAGAGGAAAAAGAATGCCTATTGAAACATGTTTATATGTTGATTCTTTTTGATGGTGCCATTAAAGAAAAAAGAATGTTTTGATCTCTTGCAAAGAAAGCCAAACTAGAGAGGTATTTTATGAGCTAACCCCAAACCTGACATTACTCTAGTAATAAATACCAGGACAGGCTGTCCCTTGCATTAGCAGAACTGGAAAACAAAACAAAAGACAGTAACAATTGAGGCTTTGATGCTTGTTGGAAACATCTAACATACAGAGTTAGTGTGTTGTGGTCATAAACAAAAGGAGTTTAGGCTGACTCCATAAATTAGGGAAACTGATGCGTCCTGTTGCTTGGGACACACTACACAATTATCTGCATGACAGGCAGGAAAGAAAGCACTGGAAGGCAAACAGACTGCAGAACAATGTGGCCACCCAGTTGGTTTTAGACACACACACCCCTGGCCTGCAGAGGTGTCTATTTGACAGCCGGTCTCATGTCAAAACTTTCTTTTATGTGATTTTCCGATTGTAGGAACCACTGGGCTCTGGGTGGGTGTCTTAGGCGAGTCTGCCTTAGTGTTGAGTTTGACATATGGTAGCATTGTTAGGTGGTGTGTTTAGGAGAAGCCAACCAGGGCCTCAGAGCCAAAAGCATGGAGCTCACTGGCTGTGTGAACTTGACCAAGCTACTGAACTTTTCTGAGCCTAGTTTGTCATCTGCAAGTAATGCCTACAGTTCACGGCTTTTGTATGTACTTATGAGATGTTGTACATCTAGCACCTCACATGGGGCTTGTAGAGAGCAGTTGCTCAGGCAGTGTTTGTAAGTGGAGCACAGGAAGCAAGGGATGGAAAGAGTATCACATCAGGACCAAGGATGAAGGAGTGTTTGTAGGAAAGACCTCCGAGATGATGGTTGAGATGGATTATGTACAATAAACAGGAAGCATGTTCTTGGGAAGTGCTTCTAAGCATAGAAGGGCAGCATTTTCAAAGGCATGGGTGTGGAGGAATCTTTGAAACCCAGGGAACTGTAGTAGAGCATGGCTCAGTCCCAGGGTATGAGATGGGGAGTTTCACTCATTGAGACAGGACAGATGAGCCAGCGTGGGATTGAGTGGGGACTCGTGTATCCTGTTCAGACTATAGTCACGATGATGGAGAGTCGTTAAAGGCTGTAGACATGGCCAGGCATAGTGGCTCATGCTTGTAATCTCAGCACTTTGGGAGGCTGAGGCGGGTGCATCACCTGAGGTCAGGAGTTCGAGACCAGCCTAGCCAACATGGTGAAACCCTATCTCTACTAAAAATACAAAAAAATTAGCCGGGCGTGGTGGCATGTGCCTGTAATCCCAGCACTTTGGGACGCTGAGGTGGGTGCATCACCTGAGGTCAGGAGTTCGAGACTAGCCTGGCCAACATGGTGAAACCCCATCTCTACTAAAAATACAAAAAAATTAGCCGGGCGTGGTGGCGGGCGCCTGTAATCTCAGCTACTCAGGAGGCTGAGGCAGGAGAATTGCTTGAATCTGGGAGCTGGAGGTTGCAGTGAGCCAAGACCGCACCATTGCACTCCAGCCTGGGCGACAAGAACCAAACTCCATCTCAAAAAATAAAAAAGCTGTAGACATGAGGGACAGCATTTCATTTGCATTTTGGAAATGTGACAGTAATGTCTCTCGGGTGGGTTTAGAGATTGGGGAGGAAATGAGCTCTGGCCCAGGGTAATGATTTCTTCCATATTTTCCACAAATCTTAGCACAGGGCTAAACGCATAGTAGATTTTTAGGGAAAACCTCTTGATGGCCTTGAACAAAAGTTATTGTTTTGCCAGGATCATCTTTTCCATGAATCACTTGTTATACCATTAGTAGATTATTCTTGTGTGGAGTTGATCATTTTAGCCCCCAAATTATTTTTGTCCCTCGATTACATCATCTTAAACGATTGTGTGTTGTGGCATAGACATATCCTAATCTACTTACAATTTATGGTGCAAGTATCTGTGTCATAAAAGATATCTTCTTCTTTAAAATATGCTAGCCTAGCACTCCATGAAAATGGAGACTCACAGTGCTGCCCTGTCCTTCAAAGATGTTTATGTACAAAGGGATAACTGTTCCCACCCCTAAATGCTTTAGGCTTTGCCTATACTGCCTTTCAAAGCTTTCCCTATTTTAAGATTTTTTGAGGCCCCTTGGATCTCTGGAAGGAGAAAGCTATAATAGCTTTTGGTTTCTGATTGTCTTTAAGCAGAGAAAACTCACAGTCTCATTTAGGGGCGTGACACATTCCTAGTAGGGATGGTCAGTCCCAGGCAATAGCTGTGGCCATGGGCTGTTGAGGGCCATGGTGAGGGCCCATGCGGTAACAGACAGTGGTATGCATGCTGGACTGGGGTGAGTAAATAGCCATTATTCAGAACCACGGATTCTATTTTCAATCAGTCTGTCAACTGATATTTTTGAGAGTCTGCCATGTACCAAGCAGAGTGCTAAGTTCTGAAGATACTAAGGTAGACAAGATAAAAATGGCCCCTACCCACATGGCACTACATTATAGTTATTATAGGAGAGTGGATAGAACATATCTAGTCAATTACCGTGCACTGAGAAAGGTACTGTGAGACGGAAATACAAAGTATGGTGGAAGCATCCTGGAGTGACAACTGACCCTCACTTGGAAGGCCATGCAGGACTTCCATGAGGGTCAAGAGTTTCCTGAACCCGGACAGGAGCAAGATCTACCTTAGAGAGGTTTGGGGTGAAATAACGCCATGAAAGGGATAGTCTTTAATCTAGAAGGAAAAATGGAGTATTACACATTTGTAATAAGTGTTCGAGATAGCCTTTGAGTCATACAGTATTTGGAATGTATGCTTGGCTGTCAGTGATCTTATAAGACCCAAACCACAGTTTTCTTTATGCTGTGTCCTGGCGCTGCCAATGGCCAGCTGGAAGGGCCATGGCAGGGTAGCCACGTAGAGAGGCCACCTCCTAGAGGCGCATAGCCTGAACGAAAGCGGAATTTGAACAACACCTCCGAAAAGATTGGAAAGTCATGGTATCTGTGCGATTGCCCACAAGGAGGTCTCCTGAAGTCGAAGCCCTTTGGTTCTCTGGCGTTTTAATGATTTGCTATTCTGTCATCGGAAATACGTGGAGCAGCCACATCCTTAGACAGAAGAGGCCCAGCCACGTTGCTCTGGAGTAGAATTTAGTATGAGTGTGAGTGGAAGTTAAACAGATGTGGAAGCGCAGAGTGCAGCTGAACATCATTGACATGGACCAGCAGGTAAACAGACTTCAAGGTGATACACCCCCGTAAGGCAATGTTCTGGCCAGCTCCGCCAGTCAAGGCTGTACAGCGGATAGTAATTATTTCTGTCACAGCGAAGATAGATGCTGGATGTGGGCAGATGGGGGTAGACTTGTGAAAAGTGTGAGTATCTTTGAGTATCTTTTATAAATTTAGTGAGTGGAGTGGCAACCCACCTACACTTCTAATTTTTGCTGTTGGAAGCTATGTCCAGAAAAGAGAAGAGAAATTTCTCTACCTGATAAATTACACCTTATTCAAAACACACTGTGTGAATGAAGGTGCTGCTTCGTCTTCTCTCTGCTAACGTAACGTTGTGCACAATATTTTTTCTTTTGAAGCAGCAGAAGGACATTTTAATAGAAAAATACCTTTACTCCTGTTAAAGGAGTATCTTGGAGTTCTTCACCTGTCTTTATGGGGGACACTCCCCACTACATGGCTTCATAAGGATTTAGGGATGACTTGCTCATTAGACATAGAGTGAGCTGGTTAGAAAGACAAGTGTGAGTTGGGGTACAGTGGCATAGAATGTTTAAAATATTGAGCAATTTAGGATCCTTATTCTGGACTTTAATTGTTTCTAGAGCCAGCCTCTCCACGTGTGAGTAGCATCTTTGAGTGGCAAGAAAACCATTCTGGGTTGTCATTGAGAGCATGTGTCCTTGGAGAGTGCCTTAGCAGTACCTCCTGTGTCCTCCCACGACACATATCCACCTATGCACACGTCCACCATCCTATACGCACACAGGTGCATCTTGCAGTTTCACAGCCCGAGCACAGCCAGAGAGAAATGACTAACATAGACTTGATTTTTCGATTTAAAGACGCTCCTCTTTTTGCTCTTCCTCTTGAATATGACTTTTCTTTTCCTTATTTTCAGTGTTTTCAAGGGAAATGTCAAATTTTCAGACCCGTAACTTCTGCTAGAATCACAGACCATTAGGGACTGTAGAGATCTAACATGCCCAGCTGGAAGCGCCACAGCAGGATAGCTGTGTAGAGACGTGCAGCAGGCATTCAGAAAAACAGATCTGCATCTTGGAAAGAGAGGTCAGGGCTCGACTTGTGGATTTCAGAGTCACTCACTTAGAAGCAGTAGACATAGTACACATCTAATGAAAGCATTCCCCTGCTCGGAAATCTTCAGAAGTCCCTCAGATTTTACAGAATCAACTCAAATTACTCAGCAAGACCTTTGACACCCTCCACCATGTAACCTCTTCTTTCCTCCTCTCCCACTTCTGTCTCCCCACACACATACACCTCCAACCGCAATGGTCTCTTGAACATATTAGCACACGTTTCTTCCCACTTTTTCTCAAGCTGTTTTATTTCTTTAGCATTAGCTCAGATTCCACTTCCTTCTGGAATCTTTCTTTCATGAATTCAGATCGTGAAAGACCAAAGGGAATGTTGGGGCCTGTCATGAATTAGAAAATATATTCTCTGTTTTCACCAATCACAAGTCTTGTATGACTTGCCTAGAATAGCTTCCTTTATGTGTTCTAAGGGATATGGGAGCCCGTCTAGACTGGCCTCCTTCACAGCGCTGGGATCCGTTCTGCAAACCCATCACAGAAATACATGTGGCTTCTTCCTGCAGTAAAATATGTAGGAACTTATCCAAGATTTTTCTTTTTATTCTTCATTTATGTTATTTTATCTCCAGTGTTATGTCTCCAAGGATGTTAGGTTGAATTATCCCCTCTGAAAAGCCATACTAGTTTTTGAATTAGGATGCAGTGATTCTAACTTCAGGTCCACTGTCAACTCATTAGTTTATTTAGGCAAGTTGCATAACCTCTGCCTTAATTTATCATCTGTAAAATGGGGCTAGGAGTAACTCATGATTTTTATAAGGAAAAATAAGACCTGAAGTTAAAACATTTTGGAAAATGTTTTCAAATATGGAATACAAACATGAGGTGATATTATTGCTACCATATTGCTTATAGTCAAGAAAAAAACTTAATCCTTTTTGATAATCTAATACAGACTGTGTCATACTATATGTTGCAAAAAATGTATAGAACTTGACATTCGAAGAGATGAGTATTTTGGCTCTGTGGTTTATTAGCTGTGTGTCCATGGCTGACTTACCTAACCTTTTTGAGCTTCAGTTTCTTTTCTATAAATTGGGAATAATTATGTTACTATTTATTAGGGTTGTTAAGTAATTATATTCTGCAACTATTATGCATGAAAGGCACTTTTAAAACTACAGAAGAGCATAGTCAACAGTAACCATCATGGTCTCACTTATGGCCTAATAATTATGCCTACTGTAGAAATAGATCAAAATGTATTTGGATTCCCTTTTCTAGGATACCCTCTCAGATTGTCCCAAATATACAAGGGATGAAAGAAGAAGGAACAAGTGTGGGCTGAATATGCAGAAGAGGATGGAAAGTTGACAGGAGCATGTGGTTGGAAGAGGCCATGTTGACATGCAGATTGTGTGATAGCCACATTGCCAGAGCTGAGAGGGTGCAGGAGGGAAGGCAAGAGGGAAGCCTTGGTATCCATGTAAAACCAGTGACCACTTGCTAGGGTGTGTCCATAAGCATTGCATGCCTATTCTTTTTTTTTTTTTTTTTTTGTATTTTATTTATTTATTTTACTTTAAGTTCTGGGGTACATATGTAGAACATGCAGGTCTGTTGCATAGGTATACATGTGTTCTGGTGGTTTGCTGCACCTATTAACCTGTCATCTAGGTTCCCTCCCCTCCCCACCCCAGTCCCCAACAGACCCCGGTGTGTGTTGTTCCCCTTCCTGTGTCCATGTGTTCTCATTTTTCAACTCCCACTTATGAGTGAGAATGGCATGCCTATTCCTTTTTTTTTTTTTTTTTTTTTGAGACAGAGTTTCGCTCTTGTTGCCCAGGCTGGAGTGCAATGGTGCGATCTCGGCTCACCACAATCTTTGCTCCTGAGTTCAAGTTATTCTACTGCCTGAGCCTCCTGAGTAGCTGGGATTACGGGCATGCACCTCCATGCCCTGCTAATTTTGCATTTTTAGTAGAGACGGGGTTTCACCATGTTGGTCAGGCTGGTCTCGAACTCCCAGCCTCAGGTGATCCGCCCATCTCTGCCTCCCAAAGTGCTGGGATTACAGGCGTAAGCCGCTGCACCTGGCCAGCATGCCTATTCTTGAATGTGCCCTTTAAGCAGTAGTGGACAACCTGGGGCATCGGTGGTATCCTCTGTGGGACAACAGACACCTATATGGGAGCTGGTTCCGCTTCCCTCACTTATGGCTTTTTACAGCCATGTGCCGCATAACGACATTTGGGTCAACAGTGGGTCACATATATCATGATAGTCCCATAAGATTATAATGAAGCTGAAGAATTTTTATCGCCTAGTAATGTTGTAGCCATTGTAATGTCCTAGTGCAACTCATTACTCATATGTTTGCTGTGATGCTGCAACCCTACTGTGCTGCCAGTCATGTAAGAGTAGAGCACATGCAATTCGGTACAGCACATAATGCTTGATAATGGTAATAAACAACTGTTATTGGTTTATGCACTTACTATACTATACTTTTGATCATTGTTTTAGACTGTATTTCTTCTACTTATTTAAAAAAAAAAAAGTTAACTGCAAACCAACTTCAGGCAGGTCCTTCCATAGATGTGTAAGAAGAAGGCACTGTTGTCATAGGAGATGACAGGTCCATGTGTGTTATTGCCCTGAAGACCTCTCAGTGGGACAAGATGTGGAGGTAGAGGTGATATGAATGATCCTGACCCTGTATAGGCCTAGACTAATGCGTGTTTGTTTCTTAGTATTTTATTTTGTTTGCTATTTATGTATTTATTTATTTATTGAGACAGCCTTACTTTGTCGCCCAGGCTGGAGTGCAGTGGTGCAATCTCTGCTCACTGCAACCTCTGCCTCCTGGGTTCAAGCCATTCTCCTGCCTCAGCCTCCTGAGTAGCTGGGATTACAGGCATGCACCACCACGCCGGCTAATTTTTGTATTTTTAGCAGAGACGGAGTTTTACTCTGTTGGTCAGGCTGGTCTCAAACTCCTGGCCTCAAGCAATCCACCCGCCTCGGCCTCCCAAAGTGCTGGGATTACAGGTGTGCACCACTGCTCCTGCCTTAGTATTGTTTTAAAAAAAAAAGTTTAAAATTTTTTAAAAATGAAAATAGAAAAATGTTTATTGAATAAAGATATAAAAGAAGAAAATATTTTCGTACAACTTTAAAGTGGATGATGTTTTAAGCTAAGTATTATTACAAGAGTCGAAAAGTTTTAAATAATGTGTTTATAAAGTAAAAAAGTTACAGTAAGCTAAGTTTAATTTATTATTGAAGAAAGAAATTTCAAAAATAAATTTGGTGCAGCCTAAGTGTATACAGTGTTTATAAAGTCTGCAGTAGTGTACAGTAATGTCCTAGGCCTTCACATTCGCTCACCACCCACTCACTGACTCACCCAGAGCAACTTCCAATCCTGCAAGCTCCATTCATGGGAAGTGCCCTATACAGGTGTACCATATTTTATCTTTTCTGCTTCATTTTGACTGTATCTTTTCTATATTTAGGTATGTTTGAATGCACAAATACTTACCATTGTAATACATTTGCCTGCAGTATTCAGTACAGTATCATGCAGTGTAGGTTTGTAGCCGGGAAGCAATACATTGTACCATGTAGCCTAGATGTGTAGTAGGCTGTCCCATCTAGGTTTGTGTGAGTAGACTCTACGATGTTCACACAACAGAATCACGTGAAGATGCATTTCTCAGAGCATAGCCCACCGCTACCCAACACATGCCTGTAGGTGAGGATGAGGAGGTATCTGTGTTAAACTGTGTCCCCCACCAAAATGTTGACAGGCTAAACCTCCCAGTGTCCATGAACAATGGCTTTATTTGGAAGGAGATTTTGCATATGACCAAGTTCAGATGAGGTTATTAGAGTGGGCTCTAATCTGATATGACTCATCTCCTTGTAAAAAGGGGAAACTTGGGCTCAGAGATAGCCTCCCTCTGAGGCTATTACCGTGTAAAGACTGGAGTTATGCTGCCCAAAGCCAAGAAACACCAAAGATATCCGGAAAGCCACCAGAAGCTGGGAGAGGGGCATGGAACAGATTCTCCTTTGCACCTCCTGGAAGGAACCAGCCCTGCAGACACCTTGATCTCGGATTTCTAGCCTCCAGGACTGTAAGACAATGCATTTCTATTGTTGAAGCCCCCCAGTCTGTGGTACTGTGTTATTGCAACCCCAGGAAACTAACACAGGCAGGTAGACCATCCACACACACCACCGCTTCTCTCTGACGCCTGGTGCACAGCTTGGGTCTTGTGGTGAGACTCCACATGGTAGGCATTTGCTGGCGGTGGATGTTAAAAATGACAAGATTTCCTCTGGTTTGACTTTTGAAAGCAGGTGCATTGAAAGCCAAATCTCAGGGTTTGGGGTTGGTTTAGAATGGGATTTCTGAAACATTCTAATTGTCTCATTGCCATCACCTCCCCAAATACTGTATCTTTATGTGCATTTGGAAGGAAAAGGAGTGCAATTGAACAGTATATTTCCGTCTGTTAGGCAAAACCTTTTATTTGCTTCTTATTTTTCCAGGCTTGGACACTTTCGTGAGAATATTTGCAGTTCTGTTGTAAGTCCACTTCGGTCAGGGATTTGGCAAGTCCACAACAAAGAGAGGGAATGTTTCTTTTCCCTTTTCCCACTTTCCTTGGGCTTGCCTGTTCTTTCTCTGAAAGATGCTAGAACTTCCCCAAGGGGAGGGCCTGCCTTTTTCCTCCTTGGGAAATGTTGATTTATATTATATGAAACATTTGTTTTTCATAGAAACTTCCATTTCAGCATGTTGAAATAGTTGGTTCTAATTTTTATGTGAAAAATAAATAAACTTGTCGTGGCAATACTCTCAGGGTACAGTTACATAATAACTATGTATGCCTCCCCACCACTCATTAACATAGGAGATCTCACCTCACGGAAGTCATCTCATAGTCTAAGCTTTATGGCTTCTAACAGCTTTTACGAAACTCCATGAAAATACCTTAAACATAACTGTTACAAGTTGAAAGTCAACCCTTTTTATAAGTATGTCAGAAGTAATTATATCTTGTAGTAGCAATTTCATATCTCTACTTATAGTTGGGACAATTAAGGCTCAGAAAAATGGCAAAGCTGAGATTAAAATTCAGGATTTTCTGATTTCTAGCCAATGTCATGCTCATTTTCTGTGTTAATTTTATGGCTCAGGGTCCAGTTAAAAACGTCTGAAGGGAGTGGTAAGTACAAGAGAGATGGGAGTTGGGGGTGGGGCTTGAAGGAGAGCACACCTGGCCCCAGGTGACAAGACTGGGCTCCAGCCCTGCCTCATCACAGTTGGACATGATGGCCCTGGGTCATTTGACTTTTGAGGACCTCAGGAAAATGAGGGAGCTTAAAAAATTCTATGGTTCCTAATGAAATACTTAGGGATGAAATTACAGTTCTGGGATTTGCTTGAAGACACAATCAGCCATGGTTTGTCACTGTTGATGCTGAGTAATGGATATTTGGTGTTCTATTGTGAGTCTTTGGTACATGTTTGGAATTTTCCATGAAAAAACCTTCTGCTTCTAAAATGCACACCTTGATTCTTCCCATCGCCCTCCTACTGGCTGGTCCTGTGCAGCTCACTCATTTCTCAGGAACAGCAGCAGACTCACTACTCTGAAGGAAAGAAAGCCCTTTGCTTTGGTCTGTTCCTAATGTACATATTATTAGAGACTTTTCCGACACCCTCCCCATTTTTTATTTCTTAACAGCTAATACGATAGCTGTGCTTTCATAATAAATTCAAAAGCTGCTCTCTATTTCTCACCAGTTTGAATTGTAGAAAAGAGTACAAAAGATTAGAGTACTTTAAAATAAATCTCAGCTAATTATACATACAACTGCATTCACTAAATGTGAATATTTTCAGGCTTTCTTTGCTACCAAGTGCCACCTGCTCATGATTTAAATGGGCACAAATTTAGTTCCATTAAACAAAATGCAGCAACTCTTCTCCTATAGCGCAAACTCCTTTAGGTCCTATTTTGAAACTGAGAAGCTAATTCCAGTGTTCTCTTGTTAGCTCTCGGTCCATGTCAACCACCCCACAAGGTTGTTTACTTGAATAGTTTGCAGCCTTGCTTTAAAAGTTCTAGTAGGCAAATAGGTTTGTTGATGATGAAGTGGTTTGTGTTTTATAAGAGTCCTTATGGTCTAGATGGCATTTGAACTTGTGGTTCCAGTGATTACCAGGACCCTGAATTGAAGAATACATGCTGTGGCCTTTTCAGCTCAGGAAACTTTTTACTTTCTATTGCCAAAAAAAAAAAAGACAAGAAATCCTTCCTCAAAATGTTATGTGTTCTTAGCCCATACAACTGTCTCCCCAGAAGTCACTGGACTCAAACCTCCACTTTGCTACTTGAACATATTAAGGTCATTTAAGGAGAATTCATTCATCTCCTATTAATCTGGAACATTCATGATCGCTGTAAGACCAAAGAGGACATTTTGGGGGGTAATAAGAAAGTTAAAGCTGCCTTCAAATCAAACGTGAATTATGAAACTCTTTTCCAAGAAGCTTCTATTAGTGGCCTCATCAGCTATGTTTCAAGAAAGGAAGTTGAAAAAAAATCCCACAACATGGAATGCGTATTTGCCATGCTCTTAGAAAAATGGTTTCCTTGCGAAGACTCCTTTGTCTCTACATACCTGGACCTGAAGACCTTGGTGTTGTTTTATAACCCTGGAAGCCTGGCTGTGATCATCTATTAAGGAAGGAGAAGGAAGCTGCTTATCTGTCCTGAAAGTCTTATTTCTACTCATCTTCTCGCCTCCTTCCACACCACCTCCCCACCTACACACACCCTTGCCCTAAATTCCTTTCCATTTTGTCCTTTCGAAAACTCCTCCCTCCCTTAGAAAAGCTAAAAATAATGGTAATACTTTCCAGTGATCCTCCCTTATTAGGATCTCAGATGCAAGCTGCAGGCAAGGAGGAAAGCCTGCATGGTCGCTGCTGCTCACATCTGCATGGTTACAAATCGTGGCTCACTCCAGCTCTCATCTTAGATGTTCATCCTCACTTGAATCCCAGTGCCATAACACGCCAACGCGCCTGGAAAACACCTGCTGTCTATAGGTTGCAAGCACCCCACAGCATCCCAGATGTAGGGTCATAGACTCAGAGAATTGAATACACACCCAAATCCTCTAGCTGTCATTAGGGGGAGTTTCACATGATTGTAGCTACACCCAGGATTTTAAGCCCCCAAAAGTTATTTAGGAAGGATTGCAGGCTCATTCTTGTGTTCTTAGGAGGGTCCCGACCTGCGGATAAAGACCTAGAGGAAGGGGGAGGCCTTGAGGCGGAGTCCCCCAAGCAGAGCCCCAACTTGTGTGTGATCCTGCGCCACAACTTGGCCAGCCGGCCTGGACAGCTGGCTCTGGTTACTGTGGGAACAATGCAAGGAAGGCCGTTGTCACATTCCTCTGAGGTCAAAGGCACAACCTTCGTCACACACTCAGTCCCTGCTGGCAAAGAGAAAGACGAGGAGCGTGGAATCGGAGACCTGGAGCATGCGAGGGACTTGAGAAATTCACCAACTCCCTTGTTTTACTGATTAGGAAACTGAGGTGCAGAGGAGAGCTATGACTTGCTCAGGATGGCACACCCAGGACTGGAATTTTCTCTTCATGGTCCAATACCCTGATGTTCCTCTCATCATCTCCAGTACTTCAGACTTGATAGTAAAAAAGGATTCTTGATAACATTATTATATTTTGTTATGTTTTCCCATGCTGCAATCGAGTCTTTAGGTTCGAAGTGACAACCCTGTTACTTTTGTTGCGAGACCCTTGAGTACTCCCAGGACAAATCTAGCCAACAAATAGCATCTTTAGTGACCCTATGGGAAGTCATTGGCTTCTAGCCCTAAACCCAGAGGTTAGAGTTAATTTTTAAGTGCTCGCCTTTAACTCAAGCATGAAGCTCTAAAAGCATCAAGTAGTAATGCTTGAAAACATCTAAATTCCTCTGAGCCCTAGGCATGCTTAAACTCTCTCTCTCTCTTTTTTTTTTTTTTTTTTTTTAGGAAAATAGCTGAAATGGTAGTGGTTAGAACACATGCAAACAGAATTACTGAATAAAATTGGTCACGTATCCCCTGGTTTAAGGCATATTTAGGAGTTCAATTCACATGTAATTGATCATTCTTTTTTCTCTTGGCATACTTTCCTGTAAGAGTCTTATGTGCCCTGCCTTTAGCATATGTGCAAGCCGATAAAGGATGTTCATTTAAAATTTTTACTATTTTAAAAATACACACAGAGGGGGAAAAGACTTGTCTTATCCCCAAATGAAAAGAATTAGAAATAATACTTTTGCCTGTAAACTTCTATCAGTTTTCCTGTCATGGGAAAGGGAACCATAAATTACTTTTTATAAGGAAAGTGGTGGTGCTAGGGCCACATGTCCCCTCCCGCACAGAATGAGAGGTGGTGGTGGCTGCGGGACGGTGGGAAGGAATGAGCGGGACCCAGGCCAGAGCTCAGCTCCCTGGGCTTTGCTTGTCTCGCATTTTGTAAACTCAAATGTCCCATCATTCCCAAAGGCCATTTGTGGACATGCTGTGATTTTATGCATCACCTTCTGGAAAGAATGTGTTCCGTTCCCTGTGAACTTATCCAGGTTGATACAGTAGTTCCCCCCACCCCCCATCTTCGGTGTCATTTTCTGCTGTTTCAATTACCCACAGTCAAGCGTGGTACAAAAACAGGTGAGTGCCATGCAATAAGATATTTTGAGAGAGAGAGAGAGACACCACATTCACATAACTTTTAGTACAGTATAATGTTATGATTGTTCTATTTTATTATTAGTTTTTGTTGTTAATCTCTTACTGTGACTTATTTATAAATTAAACTCTATCATGGGTGTATATGTATAGGAAAAAACATAGTAGATATACATAAAGGTACTATTCATGGTTTTAGGCGTCCACTGGGGTCTTGGAACAGATCCTCCATGGATGGGAGGACAACTGTCTTTTGAATGTGTCAGACACAATTGTGGCATTTCTTAGTGTCTTTTTCCTACTCGTTAGTTGTATTTGGCTGCTGCAAACACCTTGGGCTCCCAAGTAGTTGGGAATGTGGAAAGCTACATACTTTCCCTCTAGAGAGAGCCCCAGTGTGAAAAACTAAGATAGCCGTGTGTTTGCTGATCCTTGGGACGAGCCAGGGAAGGGCTCCGGGAGCACTGTGTGAATTAAGGCTGTCAAGACCAAAGTAACATAGGAGGGAGAAGATGAAAATGCAGCAGCACGTCTCTTAATGTGATCGTTTCTCTTTCCCCTTACTGAAGCATAGTGCTCTCTGCTATTTGAAGAGCGCAATTTAGATTTATATTAAGGAATGAATAAATAGGATGCGGTGATGAAATCTCATCTGGAGTGAATGCAGATTGTGGATGCTAATGACCGTGTGGCTGTGCAGAGAACCCATTGGAAGCCTGGGCGCTTCTCCCTCCTCTGTTCACCCACTAGGCACTCAAGAGCAACTCAGGCAGTGGGGAAAAGGTTATCTTTTTTTAATGTCTCTCAGTGTTGCATCTTGCCTTATAGCGCCTTAAAGCACTTGACAAGCCTTCAAGTAATTCTTGGTGGTGGCGTTTTCCCCCAGAAGGCCTTAAGAGATGGTTTTAATAGATACACCTATCAATTTATTCCCAACTTGAGCATTTTGCTGTCTTGCATCATTTGACATCACCAGAAAGTCCTTTGGTTACTTCTGTAGTTCACATTGTACTTTCTGTCCTTTGAGTTTTGGGTGCTCAGGGGCAAGATGTCAGAAATCCTGAGTTTTAGTTGTGCCACTGCGTAGCTTTGACCAAGTCACTTTACGTTAGCAGGATACAATTTCCGTGTTCATTAAATGAGGAGACTGGACTGAAAGCTCTTAGAGGCCTCCTCTAGCTCAGACGTTCTGTAACACTCAGGGCTTTCTGCCTCCTCTGATTTGGCGGTGTCAGGATACAGGTCCAAGTGCGGCACTGTGCCTTGCAAAATTGCTCTCTCTCCCTGGCCAGCTTTTCCACCACTGTGGAATGAAGTCTGCCGCCTGGAAGAATCCCAGATTTCTCAAAGGCGTCCAGTTCTAGGGAGCAGCGTGCAAAGCCCTTGAGCACACTTTGACTTCTTCTGCCCTGGCTGGTGATGAAAAACCAGGTCACCAGAGGTTGCCCTGTTTCCAGTGATCAGCCCTCGGGACTGAAAAAGGAACAAATACAGAAGAGCTCCAAAGAAAGAAACAGAAAGAGACGCTCAAGCTGGGAAGCTAAGAACAGGTCCCTCTGCTGGGGTGGAAGGAGAAAGAATCTTAATCCTCTGCCTTCCCCCATGGGTCAGAGTCGTAAATGGGTGAGACTTGAAGGTGTGGTTGGTCACCCTCTCTCAAAGTTTCAGGGCTGGGTCAGGTGTCCTAGTAGTGTTGCGTGGTGCAGTAGTGAGTCCCCAGCCTGCATTCTGCAAAGCCCCAGAGGCTCCCCATAAACTTTGAGGCTGTGGGCTGCCCTCAGCCTCTATTGACCGGGGCAGCGGGGCAGCTTCTCCTTCAGCTCTGTGATATTCTGAGGCTATGTAAAATAGTTTTCTTAGAAAGGTCCTGTGGTTAAAAAAAATTTTTTTTAAACCACTGGTTTAGTTACGATGAGCTCATATTCAAAGCAATATGACCTTAGACAAGTCATTTGATTTTCCCAAACCTCATTTTCCTTATTTCAAAACAAGTTTAGTCATATATTCTCAGCCTGTCTCCCACAGCAATTTAAGGATTAATTAGAGTCAGTTATTCATACCTTCACTCTATGAACACGGTATTGAACACCTTTCAGTAGAAGGCTCTGTTGGGAGAGGAACTCATAAGTAAATACATGAGACAGCCATTCCAAGCAGAGGGAAAAAGCATGTGCAAATATTTTGTAAACTGTAAAACACAACACAAACCTAACATTATGTAATATTGCTGTTCTTAACCAGGCAGTTTAATATAGTGACTCTAGAGCCTAACTCCTTGGCTTTGAATCCCAACTGCAGCCATTTATCAGTGTGACTTCAGGCACTTTACCTACCCTCTTGTGCCTCAGTACTCCAATCTGTACAATGGGAATAATAATAGAACTCATCTCACTGGGCTGTTGGGAGAGCTGAATCAGTTCCGGGCGCAGTGGCTCATGCCTGTAATCCCAGCACTCTGGGAGGCTGAGGTGGGTGGATCACCTGAGGTCAGGAGTTCGAGACCATCCTGGCCAACATGGTGAAACCCGTCTCTACTAAAAATATAAAAAATTAGCCAGGCGTGGTGGCACGCGCCTGTAGTCCCAGCTACTTGGGAGGCTGAGGCAGGGGAATCACTTGAACCCAGGAGGCGGAGGTTGCATTGAGCCGAGATCATGCTACTGCACTCCAGCCTGGTGACAGAACAAGATTCCGTCTCCAAAAATAATTATAATAATAATTAAGAGACTGACACAGAGTAAGCACTCTATAATGTTTATTATTGGTGATTTCACCAATGCACTGTGAAATTCTGTTTCTTGATTCTCAGCATTGCAGTCCCCTGTCATTGCACTTCCAGTTTTCTCTTCCCCAGAAGATGCATCCCGTGTTCGAGCGGAAAGGCAAGGGAAACATCATGTCAAGAAAAGAGTTCCGAACAGTACTCTGTTTCTGTGGCATGGATCCTCTTTCCTCTCCTTTTCTCCTTTTTTTGAGGTTGGATTGGCACTCCTCTCAGACTTAAACAAAGGCTTTGCTTTGCAGAGAGGATCTTTCTGCCTTCGGTGTGTCATCTGCCTCTAAGGGTGTAATTTGTTTCTGATGCATGCAGGGTGCCCCCTTGAGAAGGCTTTGTTGATGTTGTGCAGAGGTGTCCTGTATTGATCGGTGATAGAACTGTTCTATAGTGGGTGAATGAGGTAATTGTCATCAGGTTACTCTAGTCGGTGACCTTGAGGCTGATCCGATGACTAAGCCACAGAGGTGGATCCCTGGTTATAGAATGTCCTTGTTTAAAGGTAAATCGGTGTGAGAGTGACTAATAGTTTTAAAGAAATGATGGCAAGCAAATGGCATGCCCTTTGGTGAGAGACACAGTCTATATCAATAAGCTCTGAGGCCACCCATATCTGGGTGAGATATTGGGGCTGATTTTCAAGGGTTCCTTTATCTCTCTGCTCCTCTCTTATCTCTTTTCATTAGATTCCAATTCTCCATAACTTCCATGACCGTGTATAATACAGTCACTGCCATGACTGTGTATAATATCGTCAGTGTGAAGTTCAGAGCAAAATACATAGGCCTCTGAGCTAGTTGGCTGGGTTTCTTTTTTCTTTTTTAAAAAATTCAGCAGTGGGGTGGGACAGAGCTGAAGATGAAAAGATGCTTGATACAAGAGAAGAGAGAAAGCAAGCGTCATGATAAAATCTGCATGCAAAAAAACCCTTGTTATAAAATGAAAAGTGGAATGAATCATTAGCTATACATTTAAGCTGGATCAACACATTAGCCCTGTGATTAAGAGTTTCTAAAACCTACCTGCCAGCATCCCTGCTGTTGCTGAACTGGTCCTTTCTGCATGGGAATGGGTAGAAGTCTAAATGAACAGACTTAGAGTGGGTTGGCAGGTGAAGGATAGTGGGGGTAAGTAGTGAGGAGAGGATAGGTTAGAATAGTTATTTTGGGCTGGGCGCAGTGACTCATGCCTGTAATCCCAGCACTTTGGGAGGCCGAGGCAGGTGGATCACCTGAGGTCAGGAGTTCGAGACCATCCTGGACAACATGGTGAAACCCTGTCTCTACTGAAAAAACAAGAATTAGCCAGGTGTGGTGGCTCATGCCTGTAGTCCCAGCTACTTGGGAGGCTGAGGCGAGAGGATTGCTTGAACCTGGGAGGCGTAGGTTGCAGTGAGCCGAGATAGTGCCATTGCACTCCATCCTGGGTGACAGAGCGAGACTATCTCAATCGCAAGGACAAAAAACCAAACACCCCATGTTCTCACTCATAGGTGGGAATTGAACAATGAGAACACATGGACACAGGAAGGGGAACATCACACACCGGGGCCTGTTGTGGGGTGGGGGGAGGGGGGAAGGATAGCATTAGGAGATATACCTAATGTTAAATGACAAGTTAATGGGTGCAGCACGCCAACCTGGCACATCTATACATATGTAACAAACCTGCATGTTGTGCACATGTACCCTAAAACTTAAAGTATAATTAAAAACAAAAAAAAGATTAAAAAAATAAAAAGAACAATTATTTTGGAATCATTGAATAACAGTCAGCTCTTTGTATGTTGGTCAATAAAAGCAAACACCTATAATACTGCTCTAAGTGCTTTGTGCTATATTAACCCTTTAATCCTCACAACTTTTGTTATGTAAATTTTATATCTGAAAACAGTGAGGTTAAGTGATTTGCCCAAGGTCATTTAAACCCAGATATTGGCTCTGCCCCGGTGCCCTTAACACTTATAGCCTCTCACTGTCCTGGGTGGTGAAGGTCTTGAGGGCAAAGAGAGAAAGGAAATTCCTATTTTCAGTGGACATATTTCTTGTGCCGGTGGAAGGAATTTAATTATTACAAGGGGTTTCATCAAGTGCACTAATCTGGGAAGTTGCCAGCAAGCTGACCTGGGTTTAAGTGATTCTCCTGCTTTGACCTCCCAAGTAGCTGAGATTACAGGCATCTGCCACCATGCCTGGCTAATTTTTGTATTTTTAGTAGAGATGGGGTATCACCATGATGGCCAGGCTGGTCTCAAACTCCTGACCTCAGGTGATCCGCCCACCTTGGCCTCCCAAAGTGCTGGTATTACAGGTGTGAGCCACCGCACCTGGCCAAGACACCTTTTTTAGCTTCCAAATCGAAGTCTGTTTTTGCCTGTATCATGGTTGTATTTCAGTTAGAACATCATTTCTTTTTTTTTTTCTTTTTTTCTTTTTTTCTTTTTTTTGAGACAGAGTTTCACTCTTGTTGCCCAGACTGGAGTGCAGTGGTGCAGTCTCGGCTCACTGCAACCTCTACCTCCTGGGTTCAAGCGATTCTCCTGCCCCAGCCTGCCGACTAGCAGGGATTACAGGCACCTGCCACCACGTCCAGCTAATTTTGCGTCTTTTTAGTAGTGACAGTGTTTCACTGTGCTGACCAAGCCCATCTTGAACTCTTGACCTCAGGTGATCCATCTGCCCCAGCCTCCCAAAGTGCTGGGATTACATGCGTGAGCCACCGCGCCCGGCCAGAACATCCCAATACATAGGCAGCCACTTATGCACTAGAGTCCTTCTCGGAGGGTGAGCAGAGTTGGCTCTCCCTGTCGGTGGCATCACGTTGGCAGAATACACACACTTTTATCCTGTGGCGGTTGGCGAGGCCATTGATTTGCTGCGTAGAATAGCAAGGAAATACTCTAGACAGGTTTAACATTTGTTATTGCTAATGAATTTGTCAAGCATCGGAATTCAGGGACGGTTGATGCACACTTAAAATGCTCTGAAATAGATTTTACCTTTTATAAAAGATAATAATAATCTCATGTTTGAATCACAAGAGGTACGTTTTCCTTAAATCTTTTAATTAACTCCTATTTCAAGAAAAACCTCTTATCAAAAAAAAAAAAAAGATTTTACATTTCCTAAGGCCAAGTAAGAGTTGAAGGTAGAATGAGTAAA
Source organism: Homo sapiens (assembly GCF_000001405.40). Lineage (NCBI taxonomy): Eukaryota > Metazoa > Chordata > Mammalia > Primates > Hominidae > Homo > Homo sapiens. Next base: position 16,536,991 of record NC_000006.12, on the reverse strand, counting down.
TAACCAAGTTTATGGAAATTGTAAAATAAATACATGTGTTATAAATGTGCTATTTAATGAAAATGTGTATTGACTAGAGCAATAATGATGTATCTTTGACCATGATAAGTACCAGTGCTGAAATCCATCCAAGCCACAAAAATGATTGGAGGGTCCATGTGGAATATAAAGCTCTGCAGAGTCTAGAGCTCATATCCTATATGGCTTTTTGCTAATTAATAAACATTGGCCTTTTGTCTATTATTTAATAGCCTAATTGCATTGCACATTGCAGTAGCACATTGCAATAGCACATTGGCAAAAGTGCTGCCTTTCACTGCTAAGGGGGGCAGTTTTCTGTAAAAGAGGTTAAAAGGAGAAATCAGAAGCCTAATTTTTGTTAAATGAGATGTCCCCCAAAAGTCAGATACATGCATATTTGGGCTAAATAAATCTTTCCTGGGAAACTCTTCTATGACTGGGCAGAGTTGTTCACGAGAGACTTTCCCCCCAACATTTTATTAGGAAAAATTGCAAACATACAAGTAAATTGTAAGAATTGTACAGTGAACACCCATAAACTTGCCACCTAGATTTTGCAAATAATATTTTGCTATATTTGCTTTGTCAGGTATCAAGCCATCTGTCCATCCTGCAGTCCATCATGTTTTAGTTGATGCCCTTCAAGACTAGTTATTGTGTATCATTACTCAATCAAAATAAAATATTGGCTTTAGTTCTTGCTTTTAGGTAAATTTTATTTTATTTTATTATTACTATTATTATTATTATTGTTGAGACAGGGTCTCACTCTGTCGCCCAGGTTGGAGTGCAGTGGTACGATCTCAGCTCACTGCAGACTGGACCTTCGGGGCTTAAGCAATCCTCCCATCTTAGCCCCCTGAGTAGCTGGGACTACAGGCATAGGCTACCACATCCAGCTAATTTGGTTTTTGGTTTTTGGTTTTTTTTTGGTAGAGTCAGGGTTTTGCCAGGCTGGTGTCAAACTTCTGGGCTCAAGTGATCCACCCTCTTTGGCCCCACAAAGTGCTGGGATTACAGGCGTGAGCCAACCATGCCTGGCCAGAAAAACCCAAATTGAGGGACAGTCCACAAAATGATTAGTCTGTACTCCTTAAAATTGGCAGATTGTCACTTTTATCACATCATATGTGACCTATCATGGGCTGTTGATCTTGATGACCTCAGCCGAGGTTGTGTCAGGGTTTGTCAACTTTAAAGTTACTCTTTGTACACAGACACACTCACACACACCCTTTTCCATACTGTACTACTCGTTGGAAGGAAGTCACTGTGCACAGCCCACACTTAAGGGGTGGGCAGTTACGCTCTACCTTTACAAGGGCAGAACATCTGCATGAATTATTTAGAACTCCTTTGCTCAAGAGATGCGTGTTTTCTTCCTCTTTTAAAATTTATTTATATCAATATGAACTCATGGGTGTTTATTTTATTCTTTAGGTTCTAATCCAGTACTATGTTGTTTATTTTGTTGCTCTGGTTGTTTTAGTTCTGGCCATTGGCAGCTCTTTGAGAAATATTAGGAATATTGTCTCTTGTCCCCCTTTTATATGCCCCCATCACTGTGGGGTATTGATTTATCTATTTAGCATTTTCCCACTTTCTGATACTACAAGATGCTCCATGCTCATCTTGGATATTCCCTGTCACAGTACTAGAATCAGCCATTTCTCCAAAGACCCCTGGTTTGTTTTATTGGAGAATGGTGTTAGGAACTAAGTTCTGGGTGCTGGGGCTTGCAGAAATTTTATGCCCAACACATATTAGCTCCCCCTCTTCCTTTTGTGGGAGTTTGGTGTGTGCAGTAGTGAGTGCCCTGTGAAATCTTCATGCTACAGATTGACTTTAGTCCCTCACTGATCCTAGTTCACTTCAGGAGGAGCCTAGCTCACTGTGGCAGACTAGACAGAAGGCAGCCCAGCCAGTCAACTCAACAGATTTCATTTATTCAGCTCAATCCAAGTCAGACTTGGTGCTGTGCTTATTCCTGTGGGCAGATGCCCTGCCCTCACAGACCCCTGCCCTCTAGAATCAAATGACAGGACAGTAACAGAGAAGTGCTGTAGAAAATCAGAATACAGAAGGGCTGGTGCGACCTAGCCTAAGAGCATTCAAAGAAAGCTGTTTATACAAGAGCAGACTTAGGAAGGTTTATTCCAGATGAGGAGGCTAGAAGCAAAGACATGGAAGTGGGAACAGATAGTCTCTTAAATATCTATGGATAAGAAGAAAGCCGAAAATAATGAAGGACTTTGCTTCTTGGGTTTATTTTAGGTAGGAAGTAGGGTTTACTGATCTTGGTGGGATGAGGAAATGGACCAGTGGTGTAGTGGAGCCAGCTTGCACTTTTATGAGCCAAGTGTTAAATGTTCAGAAATTTGGGGAGCATGTTGACATCATGTTATTACCTTGAAATTGGCCATGGTGGGAGTGTTTACACTACAGAAGTCTGCAAATGCTACACATCAGGGGTCCTCTCTCCCCTCCCACTTTTATTAAACATTTCTGCACACACCACTGGCTTCAGCTGTCTAAATATCTAGTATGTACCCTTACCCTGAATTTATTTTTTTTTCCTCTAGTAGTCTTTTTCAGGTACACATTTTTATTTGGTGCTTTGAATTCTCTAACAAAACTGTCAAAAAATGGTTACAGTAGAGATGTGTGCCCCTGATTGAAAACTGCATTTTACTGCATATTGGTTAAAACTCTTAACGGTCAGAAAATTTTTTGGTTAACTGGGTTATTTGGGACCCTCTAATGGCCATTCTCAATAACTGAGTTGGAAAAGTGCATGATTCAAATGTACTAAACCATTACCCAGCCTTCTACTTTATTTTGGCAGCATGGGGAAACCTGTTGTCACCTGAAGGTAGTCATCAGTGTCATATATATGTGGTCATAGGATTTATGGTTGGGCTGGCTTGGAGGTATCTTCTGATTCTTACCAAGAATATAGGAAAAAACGATATCATTTTCTTTCAGCTGAGAAACCATGACTCAACGTTATTCTGCTTGTAGTAGGCAATGCAACCCTGTATCAGTTTGACTTTTGCAAGGATGATACCTGAGTAATCCAGGGAATAGTGCTATGCAAATAGGGACAGTTTCCATGAAGTCACCTCTTGTGCATGGTATATGGTGTTAAGTGTTATGCCGAATTAGACTCAGAGCAGCTTACATTTCAAACGAGTCACCTAAAAGCAGTTATATGCGTGACGAAGGAGAATGGTTAGGGAAAGAAGAAGACTTCTCTTACTCATAACTGGAGATTGTGAGTTTTCACTGTGATCCTGAAAGATAGGTTGGCTTTGCCTTAATTACAGGGATTTCTTTTACCTCTTTGCCCTTTCCTATGTCCCTCCATCAGGTATGGTAAATTTTCCTAGCTTTTGTTCCTATTAGTGACTTTACTCCTGATCCACTGCCAAATTGGGTCTCTGAGGTTGTAAAACTCAGAAAAGGATATTGCAAGCATTCTGGCCATATTACAAATCTCATGTGAGAGCTCACTCTGAATCAAAGGAGCTCTCACATTCTTTTTTAGTCCAAGTGATTCCTAGATGTGGAAGCCGATTTCCTGGAACACTCAAACGAGGTCACAGTTCATCAGCTGCCTCCCATAAACCAACCCTCTCAAGTTTCAACTCTCATTTGAAACTTCTTGGGATATCTTGATCCAAACAGATCACCTGAAAAGCTCCCTTATAAGGTCAAGTGATCACAGGGGTCTTCTTCTTCTTCTTCTTTTTATTGTGATAAAATTCATCATTTTTCCCATTTTTAAGTGTACAGTTCAGTGGCATTAAGTACATTCACATTATATTGCAGTCATCACCACGATCCATCTTCAGAACGTTTTCATCTTCCCAAAGCAAAACTGCATATCCATGTTGTAGCATGTGTCAGAATCTCCTTCCTCTTTAGGGCTGAATAATATTGCACATATGTATCACATTTTGTATCTATTCATCCATTGATGGACACTTAGGTTGCTTCCACTTTAGGTTATTGTGAATTATGTGGCTATGAACACTGGTATACAAATATCTGTTCAAGTGCCTCCTTTCAGTTTTTTTGGGTATATACCTAGAAGTGGAATTGGTGAATCATGTAGTATTTTTTAAATTTTTTGAGGAACCATCATGGTATTTTTCACAGCAGCTGTACCATTTTGCATTTCTATCAGTAATGTACACAGAGTTCCAATTTGTCCACATCCTTGCCAACATTTGTTATTTTCTTGTTTTGGGGGTTGTTTTTTTTGTTGTTAATCAGAGCCATCTTAATGTGAGTGAAATGGTATGTCATTGTGGTTTTGATTTGCATTTTCCTAATGATTAGTGATGTTGAGTGTCTTTTCGTGTGCTTAATGGTCATTTGCATATTTTCTTTGAAGAAATGTCAATTCAAGTCCTTTGCCCATTTTTTAATCAAGGTATTTGTTTTTTGTTGTTGCTCAAGAGTCTTCTTGCATGCCTAGATAGTACACTACTTCAAGAGGCTATTTAGCATTTATCTGGGGTTCCATGGGGCAGCCTGTTCCCTTTGCACATATGTAATGCAGAGATGAATATGTAGAGACTTACCACTGGAAAACTGCACCTGGAATTCTCAGATTTGCCCATATCTGCTTATCATGGACGAGGTTCAGTGGTGGATGCTGCAGAATATACCACCGACTGCTTTTGGCTACTGTGTGACATTGTCATCTAACTTTTCACTAAGAAAAATAATCTCTTTAGAGGAAAGGAAGGAAGTTGAGAGTCCATCTTATAATTTTTCAGTGTAATAATATTCTAGACCAGGTATTGACAAACTGGACCATGGGCCAAATATCACCCCAGCCTGTTTCTGTAAATTAAGTTTTATTGGAACACCGACATGCCTGTTTGTATGAGTATCTTCAATTGCTGCTTTTGCACGACAATGACAGATTGAGTAGTTGCAATGGAGATGTCTGGCCCACACAGCCTAAAGCATTTGCTCCCTGGTCCTTTATAGAAAAAGTTTGCCAACCTTTGGCTGTTCTAGGTGTTTAAGAAATACTATTTTTAGAACCGTATATATAATGTAGTGATGTTGACTGCAAGCTATTCACTTTGAAAACAATAAAGCTTATGTAGTAGATATTACTGTTTTAAGTATTTACTGAATAAGATAGACCCCTGTTACATTACTGCTTTTAAGTATTTACTGAATTCCAATTTTGTGTCCAGAGCTGTGTTCTTTGCCTTTGTTTTTTGATTGGGGCAATGGCTTTCATGTCCTTAGCACCACTGGGGCTGTTACCAGATGTGACCAAAAGGTTTCTAACATGGGTAGCACTTTTTTTTTTTTTTTTTTTGAGACACAGTTTCGCTCTTGTTTCCCAGGCTGGAGTGCAATGGCATGATCTCGGCTCACTGCAACCTCCACATCCCAGGTTCAAGCAATTCTCCTGCCTCAGCCTCCTGAGTAGCTGAGATTACAGGTGTCTGCCACCACGCCCAGCTCATTTTTGTATATTTAGTAGAGACAGGGTTTCGCCATGTTGGCCAGGCTGGTCTTGAACTTCTGACCTCAGGTGATCCACTGGCCTCGGCCTCCCAAAGTGTTAGGATTACAGGTGTGAGCCACTGCGTCCTGCCTGGGTTGCACTTTTTAAAGTCACAGAATCTGAATTCTGCCTTTCCTCTGTGATATTTCCTATTCGTACTAAACTTTGGTGAAGTAGCTCTGATCTTTAGCTGTGGTGAGAGGAGTTATGGAAGAGGGACCTGCCCCGAAACGTAGACCACAGGCAACTTGCTGCCTGGCACCCTAAAGATGGTTTCCTGCTTCTCTTCCCCTCTATCTCCAGGTCAGAGATGCAGCTTTGCTAAGGCAGTGATTGCCAATTTGGGAATTTTGAGATACTGTGGATGTGCTGATTGTTTTGTACAAATTCTCTTCAATACCTTGACCATGTATACAGTAAACTTATGCTAGCTGTTAGAGGACTTATTAAGGTGTATGGACACTGTCTTTGAAGAGTTTATATGGTATGTTTTGGCAGTTGAAGAGTATTAAGCATTGACTTAAAAAATTATGTATAATAAGCATTGAGATAATGGGAAAGAAATGCTACACATACACACACACGCATACCCACCCGTGAACACAGACACCCAGGAAATCATAAAACCTGATTGACTTCTATGTGTGGATGTTTTCTTTTTTTATTCATTTAACTTATATTTTAAGTTCAGATGTACGTGTGCAGGTTCGTTATATAGGTAAACTTGTGTCATGGGGGTTTGTTTTACAGATTATTTTGTCACCAGGTACTAAGCCTAGTAACCATTAGTTATTTTTCCCGATCTTCTTTGTCCTCCCACCTCCACCCTCCAGTAGATTCCAGTGTAGATGTTCTCTTAAGTAAAACGATGGGGTAGTCGTTTTGTACAGTCCAAATAAGATTCCGACAATGGATGAATCTGCTAAGAGGTTACCTTTTGCTCCAGATACAATATTTATCTAAAAGGAAAATGAACCCTTAACCCTTCCATGGAATCGTACTGCTTCACTAACTTTTTGAGTGAAGTGATGGGCATTGATACAGTATTGAAAACTTTCAGGCCCTTTTCTTTACTTTTTGACAATTTGACCTTTTTTCACCCCTGAAATATAGCAATCAGTATTTCTCTTCTGGATCTGGTTCTACAACCTACGTTGATTTTAATTACTTTCCTTGAAAACCATTCTCAAAATACTCTCTGCCCCTTACATTTTAAGCTTTAATGTTGAAAATAGAGCTTTGGTAAGAGTCTCCTTGAAAATGATTTTCTTCAGCCAATATCAGAGGAGTATTTCCTTATTTTTATATTTATATGTTTTAATTCCTTAAGAACAGATATCTACCAAATTTCATGGTATAGATTTATAATCATCTTTTCAATTTTAGACAAATTTTGGAATTCAGATGTTGCTCTTTGAAATGCTGGTGACTTCTCCAACTTGGGGACATTCACGGACTCAATAAGCATGCCTTTTATTTATGATTCTCTGAGGATTCATTCATTTCTGCATATTTTGAATGTCTGCTACACAGAGATAAATGATGTAAAATCCAGGCTATCAGAGCTGGGTCACAATTTAGTGGAGAAGATGAGTACGACAAAAATTTACCATGGAGTGTGAAAAGTGCTCCTCATAGAGACATGTACATCATGCCATAGTAAGTTTAGGGAATTTGGAAACTCACTTAAGTCCTAACTCAATTTAAATTGTGTTAGACTGTGGATAAATTTATCCGACGAGAAACACATAATAATATGTATCTACTCTGAGGTAATAAATGAAAAAAGTTGGATAAAATAAAATACATCTGTTATAACCAATGGCCCCCAGCAAGGCCAGTGCTCTTGAGCCATTATTATTCCTGCACATTCTTTGTGTTTGGGTTATTAACATTGCGCTTAGGTCAGATGAGCGGGTGTTCAATCTGCCACACTTTGATAACTAAAGTAAAATGCTGATGGAGATCATTTAAGACTGTCTCTATGCTGTTGATTGCATGCTTGTGGCTCATAATCAGAATGATGCAAAGTAATTGTTAGACTGACTTGCCAAGGCTACATTTTGTGTCGTTGCCACTGTCAGCACTTTGGTCCCGCTGTGCTGCCTGAAGAACGCTTGCCTGGCACCTGTTGGGCACTAATACACAACTTTCCACTGAATGTCATGGGTAACTTTTGTTCTCATATCCTCGCTTGCTATCTTCACAAAAAAAAAAAAAAAACAAAAAACCCTGACAAAGATTTTTTTTTTTTTGACAGAGTCTTGATGTGTTGTCCAGGCTGGAGTGCAGTGGCACAGTCTCAGCTTACTGCAACCTCCACCTCCCAGGTTTAAGCAATTCTCCTGCCTCAGCCTCCCAAGTAGCTGGGATTACAGGCACACACCGCCATGCCCAGCTAATTTCTGTATTTTTAGTAGAGATGGGGTTTCACCATGTTGCCCAGGCTGGTCTCGAACTCCTGACCTCAGGTGATCCACCTCCCTCGGCTTCCCAAAGTGCTGAGATTACAGGTGTGAGCCACTGTGCCCGGCTGCAAGTGCTTATTTTTTGTTTGTCAGAATGCTTATGTATTGAGACTTTAATCTCTCGTGCATGTTGCCAGGGAGCTCATCTTTTCTCTTTGACCGTGAAACCCAGACAAACCTAGCTTTGTCACTTACTGGTGACCTTGGTTAGGTTACTTTTCTTGAGCCTTATTTTCCTCATCTGTACAATGAGGCCAATAAAACCTATTTTACAGAGATTTTGTCAGGATTAAAGATAATAGATAAAAATGTGTCCATACAAATTAGCCACTCAGCAAATGGTTGTGGCAAATATTAAGGAATTTAATACTTACTCAGGATGATACAATACAACGACAAGACAACATTTCCAAAAGTTAGTCCGAAAATATAATGATAACGTAACTGTGGAACATGTAGTATCAGCACGGTTTTACTGGGCAAGTCATGTTTACCAGAGACACACAATTGGATTTGGATGTTAAAATCTAAACCGCATGGTTTTATGGCTAGATCTGGAATACATGATATGTTATGGGCCCTCCCATGTATACCTTCAGAGGATATGGAGCTACCTTTGGAAGCAATGTATGATTTAGTGTTTTTCTTTTTTTTTTTTTTTTTGAGAGGGAGTCTCACTCTGTTGCCCAGGTTGGAGTGCAGTGGTGCGATCTCAGCTATCTGCAACCTCCACCTCCCGGGTTAAAGAGATTCTGCTGCCTCAGCCTCCCGAGTAGCTGGGATTACAGGCGTGCACCAGGACACCTGGCTAATTTTTGTATTTTTAGTAGAGACGGGGTTTTGCCATGTTGCCCAGGCTTGTCTTGAACTCCTGACCTCAAGTGATCTTCCTGCCTTGGCCTCCGAAAGTGCTGGGATTACAGGCATGAGCCACAGCACCCAGCAGATTTAGTCTTGATGGTGTAAAAAAGCCATTGTATAGCACACAACACAGCCTGACCATCTAATGCTCACTCATGTAAAAGCGGTGACCACGAGAGAGTTGGGCAAAGCAAAAACTCTGTCCCTATAAGAAGTGCATTGTTAGATCTGGAAACATCTCACCAGGTCCTGAATTGTACTATGAAAAGAGATTTGTTAAAAGTAGCTCAGTTCATATTCCATGATATTGCAAATGCCTAGAGTGAATTGTCAAAGAAATGCTCTCTCTGACTCCATCCACTGCTGACATTTAAGGTCTGTGTTCTTAGTTCCCAACATTGATTCTATTTCACATGGTCAAAATGTAATAGACATGTTTTTTCTAAGAGCATGACCCCCACCACAAATTACCACTCCCCTTAAAAATTGCATCGGCTGGACCAGGGATGAAGCATTTAGGGAGCATTTGTTGTAAGGGACTGTCACCTGCCATTGGTTATGGACCTTGGTTTCACAGATCAGACTCTGTGTTGCTCTACTTTGCATCTCCGCCTTTGATCTCGCTGGGATTTTGCAGCCAGTATCTATCTCCTTTGGCATTTCTTTGCTGCTGCTATGTGTTCTTTCTCCCTCTGCTGCTCTCTGCCAGCCCCATCTCCTGCCTGATTCATGGAGCAGTGTTGGATACTTAGAAAAGGTTAACTGCATTCGTGTCTCCATGGCTGGAGACACGATTTCCACACACTCTGCCCATTGCGGGGATATGCTCACTTCCCCAGCCTCCCCTCAAAAGTGAGATTTTCCTGGAATGTCACTAGTCGCGGGGGGAGGTATGGCACCCTTAATTGAGGGCAAGGATGTGTCATGTGACTTCAGCAAATCCTATCACATATATTTTTACCAAACCAACCATTCTCTTTGAGAAGGAACTTAGATTAGAAATATTAACACTGAATGAATATTTTAATTTTTGATACCTTCTAAAGAAATATGGTAAGTCCTGATTTTTTTTTTTTTTTTTTAGGTTTTCACCTTCAAATAGTGATTTAATTTCTAGGATCACTCAAGATCATACAGTTTTTTCAGTTAACTTTCCTCTGTATCATTAAGTAACTCTACCATGATTGGGCTGAAACAAGGACATTTGCTTGACTTCAGACTTAGCGATTTAATACTTGATCTAGCCATCCCTATTCACCCATTATCCCGAGTCTTTAAAATTGAGTCCTTTTTCGATATGTTGAACACCCACTGAATATTCTTTTTTTTTTTTTTTTGAGATGAAGTTTTGCTCTTGTTGCCCAGGCTGGAGTGCAGTGGTGCATTCTCGACTCACTGCAGCTTCCACCTCCCGGGTTCAAGTGATCCTCCTGCCTCAGCCTCCCGAGTAGCTGGGATTACAGGCACCTGCCACCAAGCCCAGCTAATTTTTGTATTTTTAGTAGAGACAGGGTTTCACCATTTTGGCCAGGCTGGTCTTGACCTCCTGACCTCAGGTAATCCACCCGCCTTGGCCTCCCAAAGTGCTGGGATTACAGGCGTGAGCCACCGCGTCCGGCCACCTACTGAATATTCTAATGTGTGATTCTATTCCCTGTGGTATATGTGTTAGTTTGTGTTCTTCTATGCTACACCCACTCAAACCAAAACAACTTTTTGCTGTTAAGGCTTTTTATATTTATTCAGCCTGCCTTTCTCAATCTTGAAAAATGTAGAAGAAAAAGAACCACATGCTACCACAATATGTAGTCACTTCTTATAAACTTGGGACACTTTGGTAGACTCTGTAAATTCAACAAATAAATATGTATTGGTTCATTCCTTCAATGTAATACTCTTTCAGTCCTCAAATGTTATGATGTTGATACATCTATTGATGTTAAAGGAGGTTTTCAATATAATTAATAAGTAAAAAAAATGAGACAGCAAAATACTATGAATACTATCATAGTACATTATAAATAGATTGTATGTATGTATATATATATATATATATATATAGATTTATTTCTATATGTATGTGTACAATATACTCTGTATACTTGGGCATAGGAGAGAGTCTGGGGTCATATAACCAGACTGTTAATAGTGATTATTAGTGGGACTTCTGTGGATTTGTATTACTTGGGTTTTTCTATTTATCTAATTATTATACAGTGAACAGTTTTATTTTGTTCTCATTTGTCTCATCCACTTTTTTTGACTGCATAGTCCTGTAATTTTTTTTTAATTTTTAATTTTTTTGTGGGTACATAGGTGTGTATATGTATGGGGTACATGAGATGTTTTGATACAGACATGTAAAATAAACACATCATGAAGAATGGGGTATCCATCCACTCAAGCATTTATCCATTACAACAAACACTCCAGTTATACTCTTTATTTTAAAATGTACAGTTATTATTGACTATAGTCACTCTGTTGTGCTATCAAATAGTAGATCTTATTTATTCTAACTACTTTTTTTGTACCCATTAACCATCCCCACCTCCCCTCCAGCCCCCTACTACCCTTCCCAGCCTTTGGTAGCCATCCTCCTACTCTCTGTGTCCATGAGTTCAGTAGGTTTGATTTTTGAATCCCACAGATAAGTGAGAACATGCTAAGTTTGTCTTTCTGTGCCTGGCTTTTTTCACTTAACATAATGATCTCTCGTTCCATCCATGTTGTTGCAAATGACTGGATCTCATTCTTTTTTATGGCTGAATAATATTCCATTGTGTGTATATACTATACTTTCTTTATCCATTCATCTGTTGGTAGACATTTAGATTGCTTCCAAATCTTAGCTATTGTAAACAGTGCTGTAACAAACAGAGGAAGTGCAGATTTTTCCTCAATATACTGATTTCCTTTCTTTTGAGTATATACCCAGTCGTGGGATTTCTGGATCATATGGCAACTTGTCTCATTTACTTGTGAGGGGTGAGGAAAAAGGGAATACAGTACAGGTACTCACATTCTGGTAATTTTTGTTGTTGTTGTTGTTGTTTTTGTTTTGCTCTTGTTGCCCAGGCTGGAGTACAGTGGCATGATCTTGGCTCACTGCAACTTCTGCCTCCCGAGTTCAAGCAATTTTCCTGCCTCAGCTTCCCAAATAGCTGGGATTACAGGTGCATGCCACCATGCCCGGCTAATTTTGTATTTTTAGTAGAGATGGGGTTTTACCATGGTGGCCAGGCTGGTCTTGAACTCCTGACTTCAGGTGATCCACCTGGCTTGGCCTCCCAAAGTGCTGGGATTATAGGAGTGAGCCACCACGCCCAGTCACATTCTGGCAAATTATTAAGTCACCAAAGTCTCTCCTGTGTCTTTCCTCCATTGTTACAGATATATGAACATGTTGTGTGCCAAATGGTGATAATGCCTTTTTGTTTTATTCAGTCTCTTCTGTGTACCAAGCGCCACACTAAAAACTAGAAACATTCTATGAAGTCGATATTGTTATTGCCATTATACAAATGAGGAAAGGGTTCAGAGAGTTTAAGTAACTGGAACCACACAGCTCCTCTGTGACTCAGCTGAGGCTCAGACTGAGGTCTGACTTTGAAATCAGTTTTCGTGGTCTCAAGAATTCGTACTGTAGACGTCTCGTCTGTTGTTAGGATGAAAAGGTCAATGCGTGTGAGTGGATTATAAAGTGTTGCTTTAAAACGAAGAAGATACTCAGAGATTTTGCCAGTATCTACCATTTTTCAATGTTTGCATGGCTTTCTGGCAGTTTTTTTCAATTGGAGCATAACCTTTGTCTTTGCAGCCCCACCTAGCCTAGGATAGTCTGACTGCATAGTAAGTGTCATGTTAAACACTTGTGGGCTGCTCTGTGGGACTTGGAGGAGTGCCCTTCAGATTCTGAGGAACTGAGTCTGGGAATCTTCCTGCAGGCTGGTGGGCCATCCTGAAAAAGCTCTATCCTGCCCTGGTGGCCGGCCACATGCCGTCCACGTCCTCTGATGAAAAGGGCGGGAAAGCTGTGGCCTTCCACAGCTCATAGAATGAATCCCAAAGATGCTGGAATCCTGGGAAACTTGCCCACAGAACATCAGGAGCTGGAATAGCTTTGCCTCACAGCCTCTCTTAAACCTGCAAAGGCGTCTTTAAAATAGTCTCTGGAGATTATTGTTGAGTTGGATCTTGAACTTAGTTCCTTGTGTGGTGTAGATTAAATAGTCTGTTGCCGTCGCTCCCTTATCTCCCTTTCTTTCAGGCTTCCTCTGTCCAACATTCACATCATCTCTGTTCTTTCCCACACTTTGTTTGGCCCGTCAGTATCTCAGACACTGTGGCTTCCTCACGGGATTACTCAGTCAGCCTGATATGTGGCCTCCAGCGCCCCTCTGCCAAGTCCACATTCCCATATGAGCCTAATTACATACAGATCACTGCAGGGAGTGAAGCTGTGGGTATACCATTTTGGGAAAGAGCAAAGTGCAGGAATGGGGTACTTTGGTTATTTATTAAGACTTCTTCACAGCCTGGCAATGTAGCAAAACTCCATCTCCGCAAATAAAGAAAAAACACAACATTTTAATCCAGGTGTGGTGGCACATGCCTGTAGTCCCAGCTACTTGGCGGCTAAGGCAGGAGTTTGAGTCTAGGAGTTGGAGGCTGCAGTGAGCTATGATGGCATCCCCATCCACGGTCACTGAATTCCCCCATGAGAGGGACTTTGGAGGGAGGATCCCAGGGTCTGAGCTCAGCTCTGCCACTCACAGCCATGTGCACGTGAGCAAGTGGCTCAGTCCCCTGGGCCTCAGGGTTTCCAGCTATAAAATGGGCACGGATCTATGACAAACCCGGGTAACAAAGCAAGACCCTATCTCAAAAAAATAAAACACGGCTGGGTACGATGGCTCAAACCTGTAATCCCAACACTTTGGGAGGCTGAGGTGGAAGGAGCGCTTGAGGCCAGGAGTTCAAGACCAGCCTGGGCAACATAGTGAGACCCCATCTCTACAGAAACATTACTTCAAAAAAATACAAAAAAAGACTTCTTCAATAAGCATCATGGTGGGCATGGAGGACATGACATTTTAAGAAAGGCACCTAAAAAATTGATTTCTTGGGCACCACAATATGGACTCCTTGTCACAAGGACCATACATCTCATGATAAATGAATCATGCCTGTGATTGTTCTCTACATATTGATTGTTCAAAGCTCTGCTTTTAAAATTCATATAGTCAGCCAAATAATCACGCATCTATTGTTCTTCAGACATTTATTGTGCACCTAATAAAGGCCAAAGTGCTAGGGGCTGGAATTTCTTATCACCTCTAGGCCTGCTCATTTGGACTGATTTAGAGAATGGAGTTATTAATTTTTTTAAAAAATCTTTTTTTCTATTCCAGTTTTCCAAAGAAATTAGACCATTTTCTTCGTGAGAAAGAAATCGACGTGCTGTTTTCATAGGGTGAGTGATCCTTTGAATCTTTCATGTATTTTTACCCACATCAAAATATTATCCAATTACTATGATGCACCAAGAAAAAGTGTGTGACAGCATGCACTCTCTAGTTTTCTCCTGCTTGGAACCAAGGTATTTTTCCTATTCTTTGACTCTCCTCATCACTGGGTCCTTTGGAGAGGATGGTTTCCCTTGTAGATTTTTCTGCGATTTCTTTTTTGCCGTTCACATGCTTTGCCTCGTGCGAGGTCATCATTGTTGCTATTACCTTGTCCAGCTCACAGAAAGGAAGTTTCTTTCCCTCAGCAACTGGTGCACAGAGATACAGCTGTAGGCAAGGGGGAACCATCCAGTTTCAAGTGACTGTGATGTCTTTTGAATTCCATGACCAAGAATAACAGGATATGAGCACCAGATGAGACCTGAGAGCTTGTCTGGCAAAGGCCCTATGTACAGATGGGGCATCTGAGGCCCAGAGGCTCACATCACCTTTATGGGGCTTCATGGAGAGTAGCAGAGCTAGGATTTTGATACTGGTGTGTTTGGCTCCTAGCTGCATGATGTTTGCCCTGCACAAGTCTGGTTTTGGAATCTGCAGATTCTTTTTGAGGCTGTAGAGTTATAGGTAGTTTAACTTAATGTGGTCTTGGTAATCTAATAATGATCACCCCTAAGGCAAGGGTCAAGACTGATACTGATAGACTATTTGACTTTCTCATAATCCTAGTTGGCTACTAAGTAAAGGGGTTGGCAGAGTGAGTGCACCCAGAACACTTCTGTTATGGATGTCATCTGAGAAAGCTTATTTTCTTCTGCGCCCTTTCCAAACCACTGCATCTGCAATGCCACGTTGTCATGTGCTGAGACTTGGTGGTACATCTGCTTTGCAGCTAGAAGTCATGGTACACCTGCAGGTGTGTGCAGTCCAGCTGCAGACCCACACACCCGACTCGCGGTTGTCTGCACCTGCAGAAGAATGGCTAACAGGGTTCCTATATTGAAGTACAAATCTGACCTTCATAGAGACTTTTGAGAAACATTTATTCTTTTATTTTATTTGTTTATTTATTTACTTTGAGACGGATCTCCCTCTGTCGCCCAGGCTGGAGTGCAGTGGCACGATCTCGGCTCACTGCAAGCTCCGCCTCCCGGGTTCACGCCATTCTCCTGCCTCAGCCTCCTGAGTAGCTGGGACTACAGGTGCCTGCCACCATGCCTGGCTAATTTTTTGTATTTTTAGTAGAGATGGGTTTCACTGTGTTACCAAGGATGGTCTCCATCTCCTGACCTCGTGATCCGCCTCGGCCTCCCAAAGTGCTGGGATTACAGGCGTGAGCCACCGCGCCCGGCCCCATTTATTCGTTTTTTTTAAAGTTATGTTGGTTTTTACATAAGAGTGCAGTTGTGCAATAAGATGGAGAGAAGTTAAGAATATGATTCTCAGTTAGAATCCCAGAAGGTAAACTTGACTGTGTGTGTGGTTTGTTTGTTTGTTTGTTTGTTTTTTTAGACATCCTAGGTTAAATCTGGCTTCAAATTGTGTTCATTTAGGTTGGTGAACTAAGTGCACTTATTTCCAAAACATTTCATCTCACCTAGGGAGTGGTCAAAGGGTAGTATTAAGAGCTTGTGTTTATTATTTTATCCAACTTGTCAGCTTAATCACTTTGTCTTCTTCCCTAACTAGAGTCATTATTGCGGAACTTGATCATCTCCTTATGTACATACAGACGTAATTGGTGTCTACCAACATACTGAATGGAATGTAGAACATAGATTGCTGATTTGTGAGGGATCATCTGCTGAGTTACCCTAACATTGATCGCTCCTGTCCACAGAGCTGGGTCTACACGAGTTAGCATTCATTAGAACTGTGAAGGTTTCCATTTTCCTGTCTTATCTGAGAAAAGCCCAAAAAGTTTATTCTCAGAGCACACCACAGTACAATGTGGGTCACTGACACCTGTTGCTCTCTGGGGACTGTAAAGGTCTCTTTAGAGTCAAGAGATTAATTAGACTAAAAGAAGGGGGCAATTAAGGGCCTTGAGAAAGTGAAGAAATGTCCATTTCCATGCTTACATCATAGGATTCTTTGGGTAAAGAATAAACTGGTAGAGAAGGGTCTGAGGCAAGAAATGGTGAAGGAATGAAAGAAGGACTGCCTGAACCCATGTAGACCACTTGTGGCTACTTTGGTTTCCTTCTGGGGTCATGAGCACTTTGATGTTGACATTCAAGAGGGCATCAAATTATTATCCAAAATATTACAAGCCGTAATTTTTTTATTTTACCAAATGAGAAAAAACTAAACACAGATAGAAGCCATGAGTATTTTTCTCCCTAAAAAGAAGCTCAGAAGCTGGCCCCCACATGCATATATACCTTGTAAAACGTGAGTCCCTGGGCTCAGTTTCATGGTATGCAATGGGGCTGGGTCTTGGGAACAATGCTGCTGTTGTTTCTAAGCTCAAACAGCACTCACCATCAATGGTATCTCTTTAAGGGAAATCCAGGGAAATGCTCTTGCCAGCGCTGTGATTTTATTTGCTAGAGGCCAGGTGGCAATGACATGCATTGGTTCCATAGCAACGTGACTGTGCTGCCAGAAAACATATAATGACTGTGACAGCCAGTGTATCCTGGGCAGGATGAGGGCAGCCCTGATACCCTCTTTTATTTCCCACCTTATCCTCTCTTGCCTTTCCCCTCCTGGGGCCTGTGATATGCGGAGAATGTGGTTTTCGTAATGGTTACTATCTACTCTTGCTATTAACACTTGCCTCCTGTCTCGGTCCATCTTGGAACTTGATGAGAGACAAGGCAATGCCTGTAGGAGTGTTCTGCAGGCCTCTGAATGGGTCAGCAGGGTTGGCAGCACCTGCCTGTCTTAGCAATTGAAAGGAGGTGGAGAGTCTGTGCTTTTCATCCTCCCTGTGTGTGGCACAGCGGCTCTGTCAGAATGACCTGGTGGGGAGGGTACTTCCTGGGCATCGTGGTCAGCTGCTCCTGGCTGAAATGTGTGGGTAGTGACATGGAGCAATGTGAAATCCAGGGAAACAGAGTGCTCATTTAATATGCTGCAGATTGAGGAGACACCTACCAGTGGAGCCTGCAATGCCAGGCCCAGTAGGACTGCACAGAGAAATGCAATACCCATTTCTCATCTTCTGGGAGCTCTTACCAGAGAGGCAGTTTCTAATTGCAGTTTCTCTACTGATGTGTGGTTGGGGCTTTCACATTTCTCTAATGTTTCCTCATCTATATAATCCTTGATGAAAGAATTGTAAGAACTCTTAGTTCCAACGGATACTTTTTTTCCCCTCTGAACTCCTGAAGCATTTTTAAAAATCTTTACCATCCATTTGACATTGCTCTTGTATTTCCTTTTTTCATATATATTGCTTTGGGGGCCTGAGTGTTTTCTAGGTCGAGGCTAAGCCCTTCAAGGATACGAAACATGTATCTTCTTCTTCCTCTTAAAAAAATTTCTCTAATGCTCACAACTGAGTTCTGCAGATAGTAACCATGACATTAATATTTGTTCACGACAACGTTATATTCTCACTCCATCTCCCAAGGAAATTGTGAGGCAAGTGTGTAAATATATTGAAAATGTTGTTCAGTTCTTCAAAGAAAAGATAAACTCAAGAAATTATTTTCCTAATGTGGTTTTTTTAATGCAGATATAAAGTCACAAGGTAAGAATATCTAAAGGCTTCATATTTCCTCATCTTCCTCTTTCTGGCTACTGACCATAGCATATACCCCTGGGTTTTATACTGGCACCAAAATCATCCTTTTTCCCACCTCACTCCCAATATTCACTGTATTGAATTTGTCTTTGGGATCAGACTTCTCAGTCTAGCGTTTTGGACTATTAAGTAAGAGATTTGAGGGATTTTTCCATTAAGATGACAGATAGATTAGGTTTGATAGATTAGGATAGTGATTCCTAATTTGGTTTTGAGGTCTGTTTAGGGGAGGGAAGGTTTTTATCTTATGGAAACTTTTATCTTACAAGAGTTCTCTTCCCGTCCCAAGTTCTGAGCCCACTGAGAAATAAGACAAGAGTATTGAGGCAGACGGGGGCCAGAATGCAACTATGTGACTGAGGGCAATGAGCTAACTTGACACCTGCCTGTTCCCCAGTCTAGCCTGGTCGCAGGCCACCTGCAGGAAAGTTTTGAGTCTACAGGCACCTGTCTGTGTGAAGAGGGAAGGAGAAAGAGGCCCAAATCCCTGCTAACCCTGCTCAAAATTATATAGATTCACCCTATCCAAGGAGGGGGCATAGGCCACGTTGGCTTTAGCCCCAGCCGGGTTACTCATTCCACACCCTTGGGGAAGAAAAGGTTGGAGCAAGAGGTCAGAGGGCATAAGGGAAATCCTCCCCCATAGAAAGCTGGGGTGGGGCGTGGCGTTTCCTTCCTGCTCTGGCCATATTTCTGCTCCCTGCACCCCATCAGGCCTACCCGCCCCCAGCTCACTCAAGCCTTCTTACCTGTTGTTTTCTTCGTGGCGCTTGGGCTTCTGCATCCGACTGCTGGTTTATTGTTAGTCTCCTCTATTAGAATTAGCTCAGTGGAAGCAAAAGCCTTGTCGGTCTCATGGACTGCATGTATCCCAGTATTTAAAACTGTGCCAAGCACATAGGAGGCATTTGATCAATATTTGTTGAATGAATAAACACATAGATGTTGTTTGATGCCTCTGCTCACACTCTTTAATTACCTGGACATCCCTGGTGCCCTGTCTTGTCTGGCAAGTCTGTAGGAGCTAGTTCAGCAATCGTGGTCTCTTCTTGCTCTGTATGTAGCTCATCAGTTGGCAGTAGTTGGCATGTGTGCATGTGTGTGCTCTCATGTAGGTGAGTGTGCATGTGTGTATCTTTGTATGCATGTGTGTGCACCTACATACCTGTATCCTTTTGTGCATATGTATTTGTATGTACTTGTGTTCTCTCTCTCTCTGGCTCTGTAATACTTCACTTATTTGTTTACATATCTTTTACCCTTACTAGATTGCAAATGCTTGAAGAACTGGGGAACCTGTTAATCATTCTTGTTCCTCTAATATCTGCCATGTAGTAGGTGCTCAGTATATGATAATATTAGCATTCTAAGCACTTACAACATGCCCAGTACTGCTTTATTTTAAAATTTAAAATAACTTTTATGTATCTTGCATATATTAACTTGTGTAATTCTCACAACAACCTTACAAGATACATTTTAAACTCGTTTTGTGGGAAAGGAAACTGGGGACATGAAGAGGTCAAGTGGCTGGCCCACAGTCTCACAGCTAGCCTGACTCCATAGCTTTTTTTCTCTGCTACCTCTCAGAAACTGACTACTGTATTTGTGTGAATGAACAAATGACTGAATGAGAATTTTAGAAGCCCAGACCAAAATCATTAAATAGACCTAAAGACATTAGGGTCAACACAAATAAGTAAAAATGATGAGCCATGGTTGACACAGAATCAAGGCCATGGCTAAGATAAATTCACAGATGAATAGCTAATGCCTTCTTGTAGCCATTGCACTTAATTCCTGATGATCCATGCCTGCATGGTGGTATTGGTTAATGCAAATGAATAATTGTTATTACGTATTGGGAATTATTTCCTAGTGGGAAAATATCAAGTCATCAGTTATGAGTTAAGCAGCTACTGCTTGCGAGGCTCACAACTAAATTTTGGGGAAAATGATGAGAGGAAGGAAAATGTGAGTTGGAGGGTGAAAAGGTAAGCCCTGAAAGTACAAGCCAAGGTCACTGTCTTCAAGAGGCTCTTGTCTCATTAAGTGGCAAGGAGTGAGTAAAAGTGACATTAAGGCAATTAAAAGATACTGAGGGCAGTAAATATAAAGCCTAGCACAAGGCATTGTTAGACATGATTCATTACCAAATGGTAATAATAGAGAAAATAAAAGCTATTGTATTAGTCAGGATAGGATAAGCTTTTGTTGCAGAAAGGTCAACCCTAAACTTTCAGTAGCTTAGCAAAATAAAAGTTTATTTCTCATTCATACAGTGACCGCTGTGGATGCAGTATCTCTCCAGGACAACTGTCCTCCATGCATAACTCCATGATGCAGTCTGCTTTGATCTTTTTATCCAGCCATCTAGGGGCCTCTTTCATGATCACTGGAAGAGAGAAAAATTGGAAAATTGCACCAGCAATTCAATGCTTCAAAGCTTTGGCCTAGAAGGGACACTTGTCACCTGCTATGTCCTAAGCATGGCTTTTAGCTTTTTGTATAACTCCCAACGTCCCAGTCCTCTCACACAGCACACAGTAGGTGCTCGATAACGTGTAGGGTAAAAGAATGAATGAACTTAAGAATGCATTGTGACTTGCTCCTGATGGTGTTGTAGCAGTAATATACCTGGCAGCCCCCAAAGCCCAGGCTTGGAACAGTCAGATCTGGCTCAAAAATATTTACTAAAATTAAAAGAGCATTAATAAAAATAACAACATAGTTAACATTAATTAGCTATGGTGATGGGACAATCATAAGGACACGGGCAAATTAAACTCAATTTAGCAGGTGGCTAAACTTACGCTAAAGCCCCGGCCTGCCAGACATTGGCCTTGTCTTAGACACATCACTGTCTAACAGTCCAGAGCTCAACTCACAGTTCACAAGTCATCTGGTCCCATCTTGTCTTTCTGACCTTGTTCCTCCTGAATGAGATGGAGATCATTAGGCTTGTTAAAAATTAAGAAGCTTTATTAAGGCAAAGTTAACCTGTCTGGGATGCTTCCATGATTCCATCCCAGGTGTATGGACCACCCTATACCATCCCCCTCCTGCATCCGCTTCTCTCATGCTTTCATCTTTCATCTGGGGTCCTGGTGAACAGACCACAATTCAGCTCCAGATCAACGAAGAGGGGCTTCCAGACAGGGGCCACGCATATGCTGAGGAAAACACAGCAATCTAACATGTAAAGTAAGTGGGAAGCTCCGTGTAGGACTCAACACGGAGAATGGACAGCTCATAGAGAGAAAGGGGGAGACTGCCTTGGACAGGGAGATAGGGGTCACACCACATGTGTCAGACCAAAGAATGGGGACCCCTCAACCACATTCGCTACGTGTGTATTATGTGGTGAAGAGAAACCTGCCTGCGAGGAGGACTGAGTCCCAGCCACTGACAGATTCCCAGGACACGGTGCTTCTTGTTGGTTTGTGGTTTGGGGGTGGTAGTGGTAGGGAGGGAGGAGTGGTCACTGTGTAAATGGGCAGTGCTGTGGGGAGGGGTCCTGAACTGGGGGTTGGCAGTCACTGGAGATTTTTCAACAAGTTGGGGATGTGAAGAACCATGTTTTAGTGAGATGAGCTTTACAGCTGTGTCCATATCCCGTGAGATGGTGGAGAAAAAAGAGACTGGGGTCCCAGAGGGAAGGCAGTTGCAGGCGTAAGGAGATAAGGTTTTGAGAACTACTGTGGGCGTGTTACAAAGGGACCGATGTGGAGGACACTACAAAGAAAGAGTTGAACAAACTGAGCAACTGGGTATTAGAAACAATGAAAGGAATGGAGTCAGAGATAACCCAATTTTTGAGCCTAGGTGGCTACCGAAGGTGTCCTGTGTTGTACTTTATGGATATTATTATTATTAATTATTATTATTATTATTATTTTGAGACAGAGCCTCGCTCTGTCGCCAGGCTGGAGTGCAGTGGCGTGATCTCGGCTCACTGCAACCTCTGCCTCCCGGGTTCAAGTGATTCACCTGCCTCAGCCTCCCAAGTAGCTGGGATTACAGCCTCCCACCACCACGCCTGGCTAATTTTTTGTATTTTTAGTAGAGATGGGGTTTCACCATGTTGGCCAGGCTGGTCTCGATCTCTTGACCTCGTGATCTGCCCACCTTGGCCTCCCAAAGTGCCGTGGATATTATTTTAATAACAGTGTCATCCCATGAGATAGAGAGCCTGTGGCAGAACCCAGGGATTGCCTGGGACCCAGATATGCCCACGTGAGTATCTGAGTTGCCTTAACCCCACCTCCCTTCCTTCGAGCCCTCCCTCCCCAAGGTTTAGGATCAAATCTTAAATCAGCAGCAAAACTGCCAGGCTGAAATTTCATCTCCATCCTGGCCCTCTAGTGGAGATAAAATGGTTTGAATGTGGGCGAGAAAGTAAAACGGAATGTGTGGTTGCTGAGTCTAGCTGTTGATAAGAGAGGGTTCACCATCCACCCATGAGAACTGTCTCTCTCCTGCTGGTGTGCCTCGCTCTCAGACGCAGCCTCCCTATGGCTCTGGGACATGAGGGGTAATGTCTTGCCGGTTGGTAAAATTCTTGCAAGCTGACAGTCTTTTTTTGTTTTTCTTTTTTTTAAGCTCCACAAGGCTACTGCACATTGCGTTCTTGCTCTTTGTGATCCAACAAGAGGGAGTCAGTTTTGATTTGGGAGAAAGGAGGAAGAAAGCTGTTTGATGGGCGAGAGGAGGCATGTATTGATTGCATTCCCGTTTTGCTTTCTGGGGCTGGCTGGTCATGTCACTCTTCATAGCTGCCTGGCTCTAGTGGTAGAAGAGAGTCTAATGAGAGACGCTACGGCTGTGTGCAGCTTGCACACAGCAACTCTTCAGCTCCAAGGAATCAGAGTGAGCTCCTGAGCTCCCTGGGATTCAGAGGTGCCTCAGCCCCAAATCTTTTTCCCCTGCATTTAGGCTAGAACAGGAAAGATGCTACTGGGAGAGAAGAGAATTCCTGACATCTTGCCTTTCTTGTCTGCTTTCTGCTTGGGTCTGTGGAGCAGCCACCTCTGGGCAGAGGTGCAGGAAGTGTGACAGAACAGGAAAGCTTTAAAGTCACTGTCTCCCTCCCTCCCATGCCCTAGGCTACCCTTGCTGGTCAGAACCTCCTGCTTACTCTGGTGGACAGACACCTGAGTTGCTGCTCTTGATGAAGTTTCTCCCACTTCTTCAAACCAGCAAGGCATAGGACCCCACTTGGCTTGGAAGACACGTGACGCTCTTGATCATTTCAGTCCCTTTTACATCCCCATAATATCACCGTGGCCTGTTAGATTGATTTGTGAGTAAGATTCCTTGCAAATAGCAAGATGATCGGAAGCCTCTATCTTTTCCGGGGGAGGTGCATATTTAAACAGACAGCCTAAGCTATTTATAGATTGTAATGTATTGTGTTACAGGGAAAAGGTGGAAGTCAACAGTAATGTTCTGTTCCCCATTTCCTATAGTTTCAAGCATATTTTCTTGCTAGTCCTAGAGACTTTAAACATTTAGAATCTCCAGTGATATCTATATTCTTTTGATGTACTTTGTGTAGAAACTCAAGCACGAGCAGGCTTCAGAGTCAGCTAACCAAAGAATCTTGGGGCTTTTGATCACTTTCCATTAGCACAAACAGTGATCTCTGCCCTGTTGTATATTGTTTGAAAGGACATTTGCTGTTTAATGAAGATAAACATGTTGCTGGGTTTTTAATATGTCTTCTCAACTCAGGAGCTGAAAAATGCATACATGAGATTAGTTCTGTTGGCGTAGAAGGGATTCTGCGTGCCCCAAACATTTTCCTAGCCGTTGGCTGAACTTTTGAAATGTGCTTTGCACTGCAAGAACAGATACTGAACAGATATTTTACTTAGAAAGCCTTCTGTTTCAATGGTGATTCCCAGGGGCCACTCAACCACATCTTACTAAATAATATTTGGTCAAAAGAGAAACGTGAGTGCAAGAAGGACACATGATCACAGCCACTAACAAATTCCTAGAAAGTGCTGCTTGTTGTCATTTCTGGTTAGGAGGTGATGGTGATGGCAGGTAGAGGGTCTAAGCCATTCTCCTGTCTCTCTTTTAAAGTACATTCTTCTGTTGCTGTAGCTCCTGGCATTGGCTGTCACCCTCACTTGCAGGAGGGAGGGAATGACTGTTTGTTGCTGTTGGTGTCTGAAAATCTGTGGGCAGAACTTTTAGAAAAAGCAGACCACAGAGCCTGCTATATATTTTGTTCAGCCCATTCTATTTCTCTTCACTTTTTAACCGATTGCGACAAAAAAAGGGGCCTGCCTTCTAAACTTGTCTTTATCTTTAAAAGAGAATACCTTTTATAAATGCTTAGAACTTGGAGATGCTGTTGTTTTTATTTAGTATTTGAAAAGCTAAGTATGCTGACACTGTCCTGGGAGTGCAGGCCCCTCATTGAGAGAGAACAGTAAACACAGCAATGACTTTGCTTTTAATTTGAAATGCGTTACTCTTCTTAGAGCTGAGGGGTGATTTGAGATGTTCCTGTTTTCACATTCAGCTATTTCCTGGTTCTGTGATCATAATAAATTCCATAGCTCCAAAACATTAGAGCAAATTGTGTCTTCTGTAGGAGTTATTTACGGATACTCAAACAAATGGTGCTTTCTGAGGAAGAAGAACTGTGTATGAAAACTATGTGGTAAAGCCTTTCATATCTGCCGTGGTGGCAGAACTTCTGAGGAGCTGGCTTTGAGGGTAATGATATCTTTATCACCCTGACGCTGAATGGAGGCGGGGAGGCCTTTGTGTGTTCTGTTGCCAACTAACACCTGGCTGCCTCAGGGCATCCTGCCTGGTAATTGAACCCATGAGTATGTACAAAGATTAGAGGGACCGTTTGAGGAGAAAGATGGGGGCTGGAGAGGCAAGGTTAGTCTTGCCATTATAAGCTTAGGTGCAGAAGGAAGCCAAGCTACCTGGAAGGCCACCTCGTGGCAAAGACACCCACTAAGGCAGGGCGGTGGCCTGGGACTGACCATCAATCACTTCCCGCTCATTCTCCTCAGAACTGAGGACTGTTGTCTTCAGTCTTCCCCAGCCTCGCTTATCTTCCTCCTGCTTCCTGAAGGAAATATCCTTTTGCAATGGGTGGACTATCAACTTGAATTTTTAGCAAGCAGGCTGGAGAAGTTTTTGGAAGTTTTGGAGACATGGCTGGTCTTGAATTCCTGGGCTCAAGCAATCCTCTCACTTTGGCTTCCCAAAGTGCTAGGATTACAGGTATGAGAAGTTTTTGGAGGTTTCGGACTTGTTGCTAGGTTGATTCTGAGGGAGAAAAGACCTCTGTTATTCAGAAGGTTGTGGACTTCTGAAGAATGGAAATCGGGCACCCTGAAGGAAACATATGTCAATCCTAGTCCTGGAGCTAGCATGGCTCAAGTTTATTCCCTTAAATGTCTATTGTGTTAAAACATAAAAAGAGTTTAGATATACTTCCACATCTTTGCAGTTGTTAGCTCTCTGGACATTTATAAAGGGAAAGGAAGAGTGAAGCAGAGCCCCATTAATTCCCATGCATGGTGTCTGCTGTTTGAATCCTGGAAATCAGGATGATTTTATTCACATGTTAATGCCCTCTAGTGGCTAGTGAGGTGCCCTCTAAGCAGGACTTTCCCCAGCTTCCACCCCTTCCTCTCCCTAACTAAATTAAGCACCCACTTTACAGTAGTTGAGTATGTGTCATATCAAGTCTGTATTTTCTTACTAAGATTCATCTACCACGTGGGAAAAAAAAAATCAAAAGCTTTGTTACAGTTCAAAGAACGTAGTGCTGTTGCTACATCAAGTGAGGATAAATCTTCCATCTGTAGCAATCTGTATTATAAGTCTACTGGATGTGACAGAAAACTCTTTAAAACTTTGATGCACATATTTTCACAGCCAACCGATTTCATTAAAGTGGGAGAAGTGTACTATTGGCAAGCAGTTTTTCTGCTGACTTCCCACCCTTAAATAGACAAGCTTTATAAAAAGACAAAATCTTCCCAGATCTATTTGGTTGGCCAAGGTGACATTTGTCTTCCTCCCTCAGAAGGTTGGTAAAATTAACCTTCTGCTTTCTGTATACCTTTACTGTATTTTTATTTCTATTTATTTATTTATTTATGAGACAGGGCCTCACTCTGTCACCCAGGCTGGAGTGCAGTGGTGCACTCACAGCTCATTGCAGCCTCAACCTCCTGGGGTTCAAGCAGTCCTCCCACCTTAGCCTCCCAAGTAGCTTGGGACTACAGGTGTGTGCCACCATGCCCAGCTAATTTTTGTATTTTTGGTAGAGATGGGGTTTCACTGTGCTCCTCTGGTTGGTCTTGAACTCCTGGACTCAAGTGATTCTCCCACCTCTGCCTCCCACAGTGCTAGGTATAAGCCACTGTGCCTGGCCCTAGTTTTATATAGGTAAAGCATTAGTCACTCACAATGATCTTTGAATGAGTTATGTAAGTTATGTTTGGTTTCTCCTACTTTGTTTTCCTAGTCAGTTCAACCAGTCAAGTATGAGATGAGTGGCTGCTGTGAGCTTGATCAAGTGGGTCGGAATCCCCTGGGAATATTGTTAAAATGCAGGTTCTGATCCTGTCGGTCTGAGATAGGGCCTGAGATGCTGCTGGTCCCAGGAAGACACTTTGAGGAACAAGTTGCTAGGTGATGCAGAAGACAGAAGCCATATTTGATTTTCAAAAATCCTATGATCTGAAAAGGAACTAGGAGAAGTATACAAATAAGTATGGCATAAGACAGAAGGTGATAAACTGTATATAAAAGTAAAAACACGCTTCAGAGGGTTAAAGATAGAAGTGATCACTTCTGATTGGGAAGATCAGGCCAATTTCCACAGAGAAGGTGATTTGGGAATGGGATTTTAGTTTGCAACAGGGATTGCGGGGAGGCGTGCGAGGGCCATTGAGACCAGAGACGCAGATTCTGGAAAGTGAAGAGTACGTTCTGGAACAAGGGGCCACCCGTATGCCTGTGATGGGGAAAAGTGGGAGATAACAGTTGGGAAGGTAAGTGGAAGCCATATTGTAGACTGTCAGACAGTCTGGGATGGAAACTCTGGACTTAATTCAGGAAGCGAAGAGGAACCAGCAACAAGAGATTTTGAAACGAGAAAGAAGATTGAAACTGCAGTTTAGAAAGATTCATCTGGCATGTATATGTAGGATAGACGGGAGTGGGGAGTGACAGCCCATTCCAAGAGAAGGAGTAGTAGATAGGACAGATAGCATGATTACTCTTAGCAATGGGGAAAATAGAGACTAGATGCGATACAGAGAGAGAAGGATCAGAAGGTGTCCAGGGGCTGTCAGAGTTTCAGTCCTGAATGGCTACAGAATTACCATAAATAGGACAGTCAGAATGAGCTATCGAATGCTTTTGAATGGAAAAATGACCTGAATGAGTGCACAAATGTCACCTCCAAGAGGCCTTCCTTGTCCATCCTATCTAACATAGTATGCCGGTCTTCTTACCCTGCTTTGCTATTTTCATGACACTTTTTACTGTGACATTAAAAGGATGGCAAGAAAAACAGGGAGGCCAGGTAAGAAACCTGTAGTTGACAGGATAGAAAATGACAGTGGCTTGGGCTTGAATGGTGGCAGTGGCATCAGAGAGAGGTAGCTGGGTTCAAGATACAGCCTGATAGTATCCAGTATATTCTCGTTGTGCATCCAGTCTCAGCTGTTTGTGTCTTGCAAAACTCTGTACCCATTAGACAATAAATTCCCCCTTCCCCCTTCCCCCTCCCTCCTGGTAATCACCATTCTACTTTCTGCCTCTATGAATTTGACTGCTCTAGGGACCTCCTATGAGTAGAATCACACAGGGTTTGTCCTTTTGTGACTTTTTGTTTAGCATAATGTCCTCAAGGTCATCCATGTTGTAACATGTGTCAGAATTTCTTTTTTTAAGGCTGATGAATATTCCACTCTTGTATATATCACATTTTGTTTATTCATTCATCTGTCCATAAACACTTGGGTTGTTTCCACCTTTTGGTTACTGTGAATAATGCTGCTATGAATGTGGGTGTACAAATTTGAGGTTCTCCTTTCAGTTCTTTTGGGTATATACCTGGAAATGGAATTGCTGGATCACGTGGCAATTCTATTTTTAAATTTTTTATGAACTGCTGTATCGTTTTCCACAGTGGCTGCACCACTTTGCATTTCTACCAACAGTGCACAAGGGTTCCAGTTTCTCTATGTCCTCACCAACAGTTGTTATTTTCTGGTTAAAAAAATGTATTTGATAGTAGCCATCCTAATAGGTTGGAGGTTTGAGACCTTTTTTTAGGGGATATTTCAGATAGACAGTTGAGTCTTCAGGCCTGCAGCTCAAGAAGTCTGGGCCTGCATTATACCATAGAAGTTCATATTTATGCCATCCTTTATCCTTTCAATGAATTTTTTGGCCAGTTTGTCTATAAGCATTTAAGGATTTAGAGATTTCTATTAAACCATCAGATTTGTGCTTAAATTATTTAATCTCAAAGACATTTTAAATAATATATACATTAATTTAGACATACTGCTTTCTTCCACTTTCATATTATATGAAATAATTTTACTTACAACTTTTATCTACTATATCAGTATCTTCCTCACGTTTTGAACTACATGGCAGGTCATGTAGTATCGTTTTCCAAAGCACATCATCTTGACGTTCATCTACTCTGTGTTTGATGCTATTACCAGAAATTTCATCCTAAGCCGCAAGTGCCCATTCCTATATTCGTTGGTTACATTTGTTGAGACCCCATTGGCCAAAAAAAGACATATAGCCAAGCCCACAGTTAATGTGAGCATGGCTATAGGGAGGCATCCTACATTGGGGACCATTATTGTCACAATATCCTAAACCATATTATTAAGAGATGTTTTTCTTCATTCTTCCTGTGAGTGTATTTTGATGAACTCTGCAACTTAACCACTTACTGTGTTGCTTTTAAAAGTAATCTTTAAAATGCTTTTTTATTTATAGTGACATCCAGTGCTTGCAACTAGGAAAGTCATACTTCCAAGAATAATTACTAGTCAAATTTGTTTTCTTCCATTAAAAAACAAAAGGAAAAACAGTTCTGTTAGGTGGCTGTTATATAAACATGCCAAACTAGCATTTATCAAGGTAGTTTTAAGGTAATATGTCTTCCATAAAGACTACTTTATTTAAGAGACCAATAGATACAATAAACTTTGTAAGAACTCAAAAATTAAGGGTACTTAGGCTTTTCTGAGGGCTTTCTTTGGAGAAAAATTACCTTATATTATATTACCTTTTATTCAGGCATACATAATAATTGTAAATTTGGCTTTGGAGACTTCAGTCAAAGAAAGAGCTTCTATACAGGAAAAGCCCTTAAACACTAATATAGTGATTGAGCCCATTGCTCATAAATGTTTGCTAAGAAAAATACTTGTCTGGCGTATTCAAAGGTCAGTCTTTCCTAGAGGCATGAGGAACGTTTCAGAGTTCCTTCGGACATTGCAGTGCTGTGGCTGGATGATGCCACTTACCCATCTATTTATCCATTTATTTATTCATTAACTTCAAACACCTTCTATAGTGCAGAGAATTTCTAAATACCATATATTAGAAAATCTTTATTTTATGAGTTTGGCTGACAAGGGTAGGAATAACAACAGATATTAAACCAAAAAGTTTTGCATTACTGAAAAAATTGGACAAATTCATATTAAAAGTTCCTAACCAAAAATCTCACAGATATGATGCAGTAATTGAAATCCATCATATTCTAAGGCTTAAAGCATGATGATCTGCTTCTACAGTGATAATTTGGGTAAGAAGGACAGTGTTCTAAAAAAGCAGCCTTAATATATAACACGGAGGAGTATATGTATTTTGGTCACCGGCCATTTGTCTGTCCATCCATCCATCTGTCCATTCATCCATCCAGCTGTACATACATCCCTACATCCTTTGGTTTATTTCAGTGGTGTCAACTCATTACATGGCGTTGAATGATGTTATCAATAATCATTGGCATGCCCTTTACTCCCTTAGGGTAGAAGAGAATTAGGTAAAAGGTAGTACTGAAAAAATGTTTTCCCCTCTTGCTGCAAAGTTATAAGCTTTTGTTTCCTAATCAGGCCCACTAGACCACATTTTGCCAGTGAGCCTCCACTGAAACAAATAATGATAATGTTCATTTCACATCTTTGACCTGGGAATTGCAGAGTGATTTACCAACATTAACTCATCAATTCTCCTAACACTTCTGAACAAGACATTATAATATATCATTGAATTCATCATGTAAATGGATTCTGTGTTTTCCAGAGAATTTCAATATCCTGGCCACCAATTACATAGGGAGTGAGGAGAAAAATTAAAACAAAAATTACCCTTTTCTGAACTACTGTCTTGTGGCCTGATCTCCATCAGAATGTCTTATTTTCTGGAAATTTTAAAAGGGGGAGGTCAGAGGAGACATCAGCTTTGCTTATGTAAAACTATTAAATAAAATCATACTAGAGAAAAATCATTAGAAAATGACCATTTCCCTTAAACCACTTTCTTCATTTGACTCATTGCTTAATAAAATGATGAACTTGAAACGATGCTGCCTGCTCCATGTCACCCAAATGATGAGTCACATCATGTGAACAAATGGAAATAAATCACCAGCGAAAAGGCCAAACTTCTGTGCTACCCTAGAAATATTTTCTATTTTTCCAGGGCTTCCAATGATCTTCCATTCCTGTTTAACTCAGCTTATAGTAAGCCCTGATGCCAAGATTTTCTGAGTTCCCTGCCAAAACCATGATGCTCTCAGCCTGGGCCTCTCTTCTAGGAGGGAAGACACTGCCCTCCAGATGAAGTGAAAAGGAGAATCACAAAAAGAGGATTATTCCTTATGGGAGGAAATGGGACACGTGCTGCTTATTGTAACATCATTCGCCATTCGTTGGGTATATGGAGGCTTTTATGAGAAAGCAGAGGTTTTTATAACTCATTTACTCTGGCAAGTGAAGCAACACTAAAATTACTTAAGTGTTTAAAAGATAGACGCATAGTAGTTTATGTTCTCAGTCATCTTATTACTGAGACCCTAATTTGCTTTCGTTAAACTGTCGGTTCTCCCTGAGAGTGCTATTGTTATCGGAGCCTCATAACCGTGTACACGGGTCAGTGATGGTACAATATTTCCGGAAATTTAAGTCCTCCATAAGTAGTCAATTGCAGGTTGTTTTAAGGAACAAAGACTGCTTTTCCAGCAAGCCTGGCTTGTGTTCCTATTAAGGCCCCTTCTTTTTTATTGCAAGGGGAAATTTCAAAATCTCATTGCTGTATTTAACTTTCTATTTTAGTAGGCTGCCAGTGCACTTAACCTTCCATATAAAGCTTATATGCGTTTATGCGTTCTTTCCCTTATTAACTTTTTAAGGTTTGGGATGTCAGCCTGACCTAATGATAGAATATGCAAAAATAGTCCTGATACCAGCACCCTGAGCCCACCTAATAAGGGACCTTTTTCATACTGTTTACTTATTTCTGAGTAACAGAAAGTCTGATGGTTTGGTGCTGGCTGGTTAAATTCAACACATGGTAAGCTTGCCTGTTAGTGAAGAAGGTTGAGATTTGGGCTGCCGGTATGTTTTCTTCTTTCAGGCAAGGACTGAGTGGCTTCCCCATGTGTGCCTAGGTGTCCAGCTGACCACAGCTGAGAGGGATAAGCAGGGATTGTGTCCAGCTGAGTTTGGGCCCCTCACTCAGTGGCCTACGTTCCTCGGAGGGTGTGTGTAATTAGCTGCTGAGTAGTAGAAGGCAGTAGCCATGATCCCAGTTGGAAAATAGAAGTAGAGCTAAAGCTAAAAAAAAAAAAAAAAAGGAAACAGGAGAGCTGATTGCAGGAGGAGGAGGAGGTGGGCTCTTGCTATTTTCTAGAGCCTGAACCAACCATGCAAAGTAGAATAGCAGGTGTTGCAGCTCTTTCCCCCAGGAGGACTCCTGAGCCTCGTAAGAAGGTCAGAGAGCTGGTTGAATGTTGGTGCAGGAAGCACGTCAGGAACAGCTTAACACTGGTTTAATTTTCATTTCCCCTGTGTTATTTTACACATGAGGGGAGTCTGAGGCTGAGCGCCGTGGAGAGGTCTTTGTGGGGAGCAGTTCACGTCAGATCCAGGCCTGGTCACCTCCTGGCCTCATCCCATTCACCTGAGTGACTTGTCACCCTTTTCAAGTCCTTTTCCTTCTTTGCTTTTTGCTTCTCCAAGTGTGAGATTGGCAATGTGATCATTATATGAAAAACATTTAAAATTAAAAACGATTCTGTGCAAATATGAAATAGATACCAGTTTTCTTTGATTTCTGTAGTGTCACTGATGATAATATGCACTGTAGATTAAATGATTAGTTTCTGGGGGTGGGGGTGCTACCACTCTTTTATGTACCAATCATATATAAAATAAGTCCTGAGTTCAGAAATGTTAAAATGACAAAAATCACATGGTTGTCATATATAAGCTATGTGTGTTGTATACAGGCTGTTTGACACACAGGCCCTGTTCTTTACAAGGCATGCTTTCTGGAAGCCCAAACCAGTCCCAGGAGTGAAAGCTGGCTCCTAGCAATACATGCGAGTAGGAGTCAGTGAGGGCTTAGGAAAATTATCCAGGAAATTCATTTTGAGCAGCCCAAACTGCTAGCTAGTAGCTAAGCTAGTAGGCAGGAGTTTCATTGACCACATGTCTCAACCACATTTACCACATTTCTTGCTAAAGATGCCCTAAGTGGGGCTGAAAGGCACAAGATATATAGCAGGTGGGGGCAAGGGGGAAGTGAAGAACCTGGGTACCCCACACCCTAGATCATTCAATTACATTTTTAAGAATTTTTTAAATGTACGTATGTTAAAAAGTTTCAGTTTTGCAAAATGAAGAGTTTGGGGGGTGGATGGTGGTAATGGTTGTGCATCATTGTGAACGTACTTAATGCCACTGACTGTATAGTTAAAAATGTTTAAGATGGTACATTTTATATTTGTGTAGTTTACCACAATTTTTAGAAGTATATATGTAATATATATGTATATTTACATAAATATTTTTCCCTAGTTTGATGAAAGTATATTGTCATGTCATCCACTCACCCATCCATCTTTATTCATTCATTCAACAAATATTTATGAAGCCACTGTTAGGTCAACATCTGTGTTCCAAGCTGGAATATAACTATGAATACATTTTCTGTGCTTGTGTTACTCTGAGGTTAGTTTAAGTGAAAGCCATATGAACAATAATTACCAGCCAGCGTGGTGAGCCAAAAATGAATGTGTATGTGGAGTTAAGACTGTGTCCAGCTGTGCAGAGTTGTGGGGTGTCTTGGCATCTGTCAAAGAGAAGATGGACATAAAGAGATCACCTGCCAAGGGACAGCATGGACAAAGCACAGGGAACAAACAGCATGGTGCAGTGTGTGCAGGGAACAGTCAGTACTCCATTGGTGGTAACTTGTCATGAGGCCAGGAGCAAACCATAGAGGGTCTCATAGGCCATGTTAAGGAGTACAGACTCCTCAGCTCGGTGGAGGTCAGACCACATTCTCCAGTAGCCTGAGGATTTCTCAGTCTCCCAACCTCTGCCCTGTGAACCTCTGTGGGGCTGCCTTCAGAAGTACTTGGTGGTGATGGATGAGGAGTAGGAGGAACCGATAAAACTAGATAGTGTAAGTAGCCTCAATTTTATTTATCTTGTGTATTAGATTTCTATATAAGATTTTGTTTGAAGGCAGAGTTCTGGCTTTTAAAAAACACATTTGAAAATCATTGCTGTTGGCAATGAGGAATCATAAAAAATTATTATAGTTGGTGACGATTAGCTTAGTGTTTTAAAAATCAATATTCTGCATTCAAAGCAATAAACCTTCTTTCTCCATTTCTGAACCTCACCTCACAGTACTTTGCACATACTAAGCATTCAATGAAATGTTCAGTGGGAATTGTTTTAGGGCTATGACTTAGGGATATTTTCATTATACTACTGTCATAAGGGTCCACTTAAATAGAATGTTGCCCAGTAACTCAAAAGGAATTTGTAGAAATATAAACTATATAACTTGCCTTTTATTCTCACTTTTCTTTGTGTGCGATTGGACTGTAATAATTATTTTTTCTGAGTTTTCTTGTCTATTTCTGAGACATCAGGTTTTATAATTTGATGCTTTGGACCTGGTTGACAATTCCGATTCTGTATGTAGGATTGAACTTTGTGGGAAATAGCAGTTAATTGTATTTTTTAATGCTTAAAATGATATTCTGGGCAAGTTTTGTTTCTTTACGGTCTATAGCCAGAATCCTACTGTTTTTCAATTTGTTTAAATGCAACAGCTTATACAGCATATGTACATGTTCAGTTGAAGATAAAGGATATCATTATTTTTAGCCTATTACAAAGAAAACCACATTTTCTCTTAAATGTCTTGATATAAAGTAATTTGAACACAATTTCTGCACAAATCATTTTCAAGAGATTGGCTGTCAAGTGTATTTTTTTAAGTAGCACTTTCATAAGAACCAATGAAACTTTGCAAATTTAGATAGATTCTAAGCCTGAAATGTGGTTGAAGATGTCAGTTTTTAAACAGCACTTTGAGAAGTAGTTAACTTAAAAGTATAGCAATTCAGAGCATACTGAGAATGATTTTGAAGAGTAAAGTCTTGATACACTGAAAAGAAAGTTGACAGATTCACTACAATTAGGAGACAAGGAGGTACAACTCCCACTTGTGAAAACTTTTCTCATCTAACCAACTTCTAATACTTGCCTAAGAAAATCTTCAGCAAATCCTTACTCCTTTGCAGCTCCTAAATCTATTGTATAGAATTCTTCCAGTTTCCTAATAGATGCTGGCGAGGCTGTGGAGAAATAGGAATGCTTTTATGCTGTTGGGGGACTGTAAATTAGTTCAACCATTGTGGAAGACAGTGTGGCGATTCCTCAAGGATCTAGAACCAGAAATACCATTTGACCCAGCAATCCCGTTACTGGTTATATACCCAAAGGATTATAAATCATTCTGTTATAAAGACACATGCACACATATGTTTACTGCAGCAGTATTTACAATAGTAAAGACTGGAAACCAACCCAAATGCCCATCAATGATAGACTGGATAAAGAAAATGTGGTAAATATACACCATGGAATACTATGCAGCCATAAAAAAGAATGAGCTCATGTCCTTTACAGGGACATGGATGAAGCTGGAAGCCTCATTCTCAGCAAACTAACACAGGAACAGAAAACCAAACACCGCATGTTCTCACTCATAGTAGGAGTTGAATAATGAGAACACATGGACACAGGGAGGGGAACATCACACACCAGGGCCTATCGGTGAGTGGGGGGCAAGGGGAGGGAGAGAATTAGGACAAATACCTAATGCATGAGGGGCTTAAAACCTAGATGATGGGTTGATAGGTGCAGCAAACCACCATGGCACATGTATACCTATGTAACAAACCTGCATGTTCTGCACATGTATCCCAGAACTTAAAGTAAAATTTAAAAATATTTTAAAAATAAAGAATTCTTCCAGTTTCCTTATGGCATAATAATGGAAACAGAATAATAACATGACAACCCTCCTTTCCTTGTTTTAAGGAAAAGTAAGTTGTTAGGCCTGTGAACAATGGCAGAACTGAAATGGAGTCTTCACTCAAGCCTTGTGTGTGATTGTGTGTATGCATGTGTGCATGCGTGCATATGTGCACACTCACGCACATGCACAAACCTACACATTTGAGTGCACCAGTTTAAAATAAGAGAAAAAAGTGACATGAAACTCACTTCCCAATTTCTACCATCATTAATAATACATTTTACCAATTCTGATTTGTTCTACTATTGTGTCAAGGCTAGTTAATGTGCCCCATGCATTGGCAGACAAGATGATATTATGTGGAAATTGTGTCTTGTCTATTATAAGAACCTGAATATTTAAGTATGGGAGATTTTTGCCTGATATTCTTCAGTCTTGTCACTCACTACTGATTAAGCTTTGTAATCTATATATGGGCATTAGATGAATCCATAAATGAATGAATTGGTAGTTTCCTCAATGTTTTTTTTTTTTTTTTTTTTTTATCATAATGAAGATATTTCATGACCTTTTACCAGTCTTATCACATCTTGGAAAGAATTACTACATCTCTGAAAACCCTACCCAGGTACCTTCTTGTAGTTGGGCCATATGTTTCTCAATTCAGATATACCCTTGAGGTCCACTTTCCTTAGGTGGACATACACTTATGTACACTCACACACCCACATGCATACAATATAGAGAAAGAAAGGTAAATAGTAACCGACAGAGGTAGTGCCTGCTATTCTCTTCAGCGAGTTGTTATCCCCTCGTCCCATTCCACAAGATGGGTGCCACATTGAAGATGCAACCAAATTACATGCCCACACTCACAGTGGTTGGCCCTTTTGAAATTACTGGGAGATTATAATGATACAGACTGTGGGGTTGAAACAATTGTATTAAAATCAATTTTCTGCCACTTCCAAGTTCTGTGATCTAGGGCTGTCGCTTAATTAATCTCTCAGAGTTTGTTTCCTCGTGTGTCATATGGGAACAATAAACTTACTTTCACACGGTTGTTGAGAAGAGTGAATGATAACTGATACAAGAAATTCAAGTTTTGTTAGTTTTAATCGGACATCATAAGACTTTTAAAATCATGTAAATGTACATCCCTAATTGCTTGCAAGTGGTGCAAGGTGACAAGAGGAGCCACCTTTGTGGGAGGAGTAGGTGGCAACCTCTGATGACTTCAGGACAGTGACTCTCCACCTTGGCTGCATAGTAGAATCACTTGGGGAGCTTTCCAAAATTCTATTGCCTGAGCCATACCCCAGACCAGTTAAGTAAGGATCTCTGTGGGTGGAACCCAGACATTAGTACTTTCTAAATCTCTCTGGGTGGTCACAATGTGTAGCCAAGTTGGAGAACTGATGCTTTAGGGGGATTTAAAAGTCTTCACTCCTTGCATTGGCTGAATTGATGATAGCCAGAATTCTACAACCTACACTGTATTCTTTTTGCTTAAGATAAACAGAGTCTTAGGTATCATGCCAAAAGTCTATTATTTCTCTTGGTTATACACGATTTGGCATGAATTAGTTTATTAAGTTTTCTCCAAAGAGCCAATCTTAATGGGTGGGTGTCGGGCTTGGAAAGAGAACAGAGGTCTGTGGATATCTGAAGACAGGGGCTGTTCACTAGAGGGGCACAAACACAGAGGCAAATGCAACCCAAAGTCAGCAATTTCAAGCTACTGTTGCTTTTGAAAATTAGTTCTTGCAAAAGCACCACCTCAAGAGGTGGTTGGCTTCCCTGAAAGCTCAGCATCATGGCTCTGGTGGGTCATCATTCATGAAAACTTGCTGCATCTTTAAAATGTGGGATGAGGAAAAACATTTAAATAGTGGCTGAATACAGTCATAGTGTAACCAAAAGCCAGAAAATTAATTTTTAAAATAATGTATATTTTTAAAGTTTTGTTTTTTCAAGAGAAAAGACTAAAATCACTTCATACTCAAAATCTCTCTTACCTCTTTTCAACAATTGGTGCTGAGACAATGGAAAAAGTCACCTGGGACACATGCCAGAGAAAGAAGTTGAACCCTTACCTCACACCATATACAAAAATGAACTAAAAATGGATCAATACCCTAAATGTAGGAACTGAAACTATAAAACTTTTAAATGAAAACAGGAGTAAATCTTCATGACCATGGATTTGGCAATAGATTCTTAGATGTGACACCAAAAGCACAAACAACAAAAGAAAAAAATAGATGCATTGGACTTCATCAGTATCAAAGCCTTTGTGAACCAAAGGGCACTGTCAAGAAAGTCAAAAGACAGCCCACAGAATGGGAGAAAATATTTGCAAGTCAGTATCTCATAAGGGTCTAGTTTCTGGAATATATAAAGAACTCTTACAATTCAAAGAGAAAAAGACTAACAACCCAGTTTAAAGATGGACAAAGGCATTGGATAGAGATTTCTCCAAAGAAGATATATAAATAGCCAATAAGCTTATGAAAAGATGTCCAACATCATTAGTGTTTAGGGGAATGCAAATCAAAACCACAATGAGATACCACTTTATTATGGTCACCCATTATGATGGCCATAATTTTTTTAAAAAAGGAAAATAACAAGTGTTGGCAAGCTTGTGGAAAAAATGGTAATCTTCCTACCTGGCTGGTGGGAATGTAGTATGGTGCAATCACTATAGAAAACAATTTGGCAAGTCCTCAAATAGCTAAATACAGAATTAACATATGACTCAGTAGTTCTGCTCTTAGGTATACACTGAAGAGATTTGCAAACAGGTATTCAAACAAAAACATGTACATGAATGTTCATAGCAGCATGATTCATAGTAGCCCAAATATGGAATCATCCCAAATGTCCATCAACTGACGAATAAATAACAAAATGTGGTATAGCCTACAATAGAGTATTATTGAACCAAAACAAGAATGAAGTACTGGTACATGTTACAATATGAATGAGCCTTGAAAACATTATGCCAAGAGAAAGCAGCCAGACACAAAAGGCCACATATTGTATGATTCAGTTTATACACAACATCCAGAATAGACAACTCCTTAGAGTCAGAAAGTAGATTAGTCTTTGCCAGGGGCTGAGAGGAGTGGGGGACAGGGAGTGACTGTTTCATGGATAAGGGGGATGATGACAATCTTCTGGAATTAGATAGTGATGATGGTTGTTCAACATGTGGATGGAGTAAAAGCCACTGACTTACACACTTTAAAAACAGTTAAAATGCTGAA
Organism: Homo sapiens; assembly: GCF_000001405.40. NCBI lineage: Eukaryota > Metazoa > Chordata > Mammalia > Primates > Hominidae > Homo > Homo sapiens. Next base: position 16,498,010 of record NC_000006.12, on the reverse strand, counting down.
TTTTGTTTTATGTGAATTTTATCTTCATTAAAAAATACCCCTTTGACCCCATCTCTTCTCTAATCCTGCACATATAGCCTTAAACCAGTCATTTTACCCTTTGTGATTCCATTTTCATCTTATTCTGTTTTTTCCTCTAATGTTCAACTTCTGCAAAGAGACATCTACACTGGTCTTCATTTCCTTTCCAGCCCTTCCATTCATCACTCCAGATTCTACACCTGACCTGGAAAGGTCTGTGTTAACTCAAACAGAAGCTTGGGCACCTCTTCCTTACTAGAAGGGCATTCCAGTGATTGACATTAGAAATCAAGTTCCCAGCATGGCCCTGCCACCAGGCTGGACTCGTCCATTGCACTGTCACCAAGGAATGTTAAGTCTTGGAAACAGATGGAGGAACTTGCACGGCGTTTCCCAGCAGGCACAGGCGATTCCTGCAAACTTAGGAGAGTGAAAGTCACACGAACAAGAATGTAAATTTGTGTGAGAAGACGTGATGCTGTTACTAGCAGAGTTAAAGTGCTTTTAACTTTGGATAATGGATAGTCTGCTCTGATTGCCTCGAAGGTGGATCTCCAAGCCCACAGAACGGTCTAAAAGTGGAAGGAAGCTGTATTAATCATTTATTTAATTTTCTTTCTTTCTCTCTTTTTCTGCTGGGGTCAGCAGGAATGGGAATCTTTTTTTTTTTTCTTTTTACATCAGTCTTATTATGATTATGATTATACTGAAAGACCTGGATGGGAGGAATGCTGCAATCTGAATTAAAAATAGCATTTTCTGTCCTCCCACACACAACACTTGAGTGCTCTGAATGCCTTTTATAAATGCAGACTTTCTGCCTGGCTAGATAAAAGAAGCTGTCACTTCATTTCCATAACGAAGTCATTCCCGGGAGAATTCCATTGTTTTAGCAATAGAATTTTTGTAAAAGGCCTCTTATTTTGCCTGAAAAAGGTAACAAAAATGAACTTTTGAGAGCTTATTCGACAAAACAATTAAGCAGTGAAGAGAGATTTTCTCCTTTTTTGATATATTAGGAGTTGTAAGTGTGAGAATCCCCTGAGCCATGATACTAGGATAAACCCCTAAATCTGCAAGATGAAGGAGGAGGGGAGAAATCCTGTTATTCTTTCTCCTAATAGAAATGGGGATATGCTCTTCCCCGAGAATATGTGTCCTAGAGCCAAGTGACACATAGATGATGCTAATTCTAAAGAGTTTTAAATATTTAGTCTTAAAGAGAGGTAGGAAACTTGTAGAATGCTCATGGTGTAAAGAAATTCCTTGGGGTTTTTAATGAAACGCGATCATCAGGTATTTTAACTGAGTTTCAGGACTCTTAAGACAAACCACGGCTGCATCTTGCCAGCGTCCTTTACTCATAAAATAGTAGTTGATATTTTTCTTTATTTGCATTGAAATTGCAGCAAGTGGAGTACAGGGTCCTTCATGATGCAGTGTGACCTGTAGCGAGCTCAGACAGGCCTGTGGACATGTGGTCACACTCAGCACCCCTCTCCTGTGTTTCCCCATCCCTCCACACGATGGATCTGTGCTCCAAATATGGTATCAAATCTTCAGCGCCACATTCATAGAAAGAAAGAATAATTGTATTTCTTGTTACTTACCCGGCCCTGCGTAACCCACATCAAAGTATACCTGTCTTTGGTGTTTCAACAGGTAATCCCTAGATATAATGCCAAGTGGCATTTCTGCTACATGGTATTCACAGTTAAGACCATTGAAATCCCAGTTTTAAGCTAGAATGCTTTTATGAAGCCTCCTCCAAAAAAAGAGAAGTTTTCAATAGCACCTTTGTCTTGCAATACTTTGTTCTGATTGAGTCAGAAAATTGTAATATTTAAACAAGGAGGCAGTTACTCGGAATAGTATTAAAAAAGGAGTTTAAAGTATGGAGTTGTTGTATCTGTTGGCTTTTAATTTAGTAAAACAAGTAGACCAAAAAGAAAATGAGTGCTGTTGACGTAATATTATTATGGAAAGTTCTGTGGGGGCAAACATTATGCAAAAGTAGTTAAATCTGGCACTGATTTTGAATTTCAGAAAATAATTCTGTTGTTTTTGAGCTTTGAATGGCTTTTACTAATATACCAATAATAACTTTTTTTTTTTTTTTGAGAGAGAGAGAGAGAGTCTCACTCTGTCACCCAGGCTAGAGTGCAGTGGCATGATCTCGGCTCACTGCAACCTCCGCTTCCTGGGTTCAAGTGATTCTCCTGCCTCAGCCTCGTGAGTAGCTGGGACTACAGGCGCCTGCCACCATACCTGGCTCATTTTTGTATTTTTAGTAGAGACAGGGTTTCACCATGTTGGCCAGGCTGGTCTTGAACTCCTGACCTCAAATGATCCACCTGCCTTGGCCTCCCAAAGTACAGGGATTATAGGCGTAAGCCACCACGCCTAGCCCCAATACTAATTTTTTAAAGCATGATTTGATGTCCCAGCTGTAGCCATGCAATTTTGCATGGTAGTAGTTCATAAAAAGAAAAGGAAGTTGTGGCTTTGATAGGATGCTTCCAAGGTCGTGTTTTTAATACTTTTGGTAAATTCTGTTACTTGTGTCTGTTCAAAAGGACAGAGGTTGGGAGATGCATATGTGGATTCTGTCTCTTCATTTTATCTTCACTCCCCGTTTGGTACTTTGTGAAGTCAGGCCAAATAAAATAGTTGAAGATACTATCATATAACTCTCAATATTATGGCAAAAAGAGAATGAGAGGAAAATATTTAGCTATTTCTTTTTTAGGATTTTTACTAATTGTGTTATTAAAAAGGAGCAAATAGAGCAGGAACTGAAACAGACTTAAAGTCAGAGGACTGGACTGCACACATTAGCATCTTGCAGACCTTAGCTGCTCATGATTTATAAATGCTTCAGAAATTATCAAAGCATGAGGCACAGGCTGTGTTTCAGCCTTCCCCATTTTCACCAAGCACTTCTGCAACACCTAAACACTGACCTTTTCAAGCAGGCATGAATAAAACTCTCCTCTGGGCAGAAGGTGCGTGATGACTCATGGCAACCAGAAAGGGGATGTGTAACTCGGGATGTGGAGTCTCTGGGCTTCTAGACCCAGACCTCCCTGTCTTCTGGCCCACTGTTCTTTCTGTTGTGCTACAGCAATACCTGAAGGACCTGCGTGTTGAACAAATAAGGCCAGGAATAAGTTGTCAATAGGAGCACATGACATCTTGTCTTTAAAATACTAATTTCCTGAGACGTCGTTCTACAGCTGCTCAGCACAGATTGGGTATTTATCATCTATATGTTCAACTTACATTTTATTTTCATTTTATTCTTGATATGCAGACATACTTTTCTCCAATGTATAATTATATTTCATAGCAAACTTTGCACTACGTCCATAAGGAGATGTAACCTGCATACAAATACACACAGCAGCAGTCTCTGTATGAATAAATCCTTACCTTTATGTGATAAGCCATGCTAATGATAAGAAGCAGTGACATGGATCAACATGAAATATAATTTTTTTAAAAAACCTTTGAGGATAGACATTTTTCCAGCATATTTATCTCTGATAATGTGTTCTTTAGGCCGGTACTAATTTTGGATTTTATTCCTTGAACACAAACCAGTTAATATACACAGAGAATATTCTGAGTGCATGCTAGGTATCCAAGGACTGCCAGTTTGTAAGAAATTTTACAATGGATAACTCCCATAAATGATCAAATGTTGACTGAACAGGGAACGCATGATATTGTGAATAAATCATATTCTTCAGAATACCTTGAGTTTTGGCCTACCTCCCACGCTGACCTCCCTCCAACTCTTCTTGAGGTCTAACTGGACTCTCAGTCCAGCCCTGCACTGGAGATGCCTCTCAGTCCAGCCCTGCACTGGAGATGCCTCTCAGTCCAGCCCTGCACTGGAGATGCCTCTCCATGGGAAAGGGGTGTTTTTGGCCCAGTTTGCCTGCCACTTAAGCTCCTTGGTGGGCAGGGTGGAGACAGGGCTCTGCACCCTGCTGGGCTGAGTGTGCTCATTCAGAGGAAGCATTTCTGAACTCTGCAATTGCCAGCAGCCCTGGCAGCTTCTCTTTATTCCTCAGAAAGGAAATACAAAGAGTTACCTTTAGTTCTGAGTTGGAAAAAGAGGCTGTTGTGGAACATTTCATTGAGGGACTGCACAGTTTCCTTAGAGACTTATGTGATGATTTTTCTCCAAGTCACCCAAAAGGGTGTTCTTCCATTTGAACACCTGTCCTCTTCCATGGAGGACAGAGACTCAAAGACATATAACGTCTTCAAGTATAATGTAATATAATACCATGTTATCAATCAGTTAATCAACAAATATTGATCAAAGAGTTATCATTTGCGAAAGCCCCGTGAAGCTTACAAAAAGAAGACAGACATAAACCCTACCTTTACGGAAGTTACCACATTCCACTTGGGGAGATGACACCTATTGTAGGATAAGGAATAAAATGGTTAGTAACATAAGGAAAATGAATTTTAAAACCATAGGCATTCACATGCAAAAACAAAACAACCAAAAAAAAAAAAAAAAAAACTTCTGATTGAGAAAGTTGTAGAATAAGAGGATAAAAGAGTTGTAGAAAAAGTGGGATTTGAGCTGGTCTTGGGAGGTCTGGCTTACATTTTGACACGTGGAGTAGAAATGCGGGCTCTCAGAGAGGAAGTGAGAAGCTCACTGTGGCTGCTTCAGTGTGCATGAGGGGAGAAGTAGAAATGAAGTTGGAAAAGCATGCTGGGGCCAGATTGTGAAGATCTTCAGCATCAAATAAAGAATTTCGAAGATGTTCAGTAAGCTGTAGGAACCAATGAAGGTATGGATGGCACGGGGAAGTTGTGTTATATCTACTTTAGGAAGTTCGATCCAACAGGGATGACTCAAATGGTTTAGAGAGAGAAAGCATTGACAAGAAGACCAATGAGCAGGCTGCTGTGAGAGGAATTCAGTCTGAGCTAGCATGGGGCGGTGAAGATAGAAAGGGTGCAGAATTGGTAGGACTTGGAAACCGATGGAATGTGGGAGAAAGAGTAGAAGATGATGATGCTGTCAGCTTCCATCAGAAATTAAAGAGGAGGAGCTGGGTTTGGAGCAAGGGACTGGGAAAGTTTGAAATAAACATAATTTGTTTCCACTGCATATATCCAGGAGTTTGTAGGGGGAGATACCAGGGACCAGGATACAGATTTAAGAACGATAAACAGTAGAAGGAAATCATTATAGAAAGTGAATAGAACTGAGCAGATAGCCTTAGGAAATCTGTCCCCTAGAGTTAGAAAGAACAGAGAGAGCAAAAAACTGCAGAGGGGCCATAAGGAGTAATATAAGGAACCCAAGAAAGTACCATCTCAGAGAAATTAAGAATATTTGTTTATTTTGGTTACAATAGACAAATTAAACTCAAAGTGATTCAAGCAAAAAAAAAAAGAAATGTATTGTATTATATGTGGATTGGTTTTCTATTGCTGTATGACAAACTACAAATATAGTGACTTAAACAACACCTATTTATTTTTTTTTGTGTGTGCATCTTTTCTTTTTTTATTTTTTATGTTATTATTATTATACTTTAGGTTTTAGGGTACATGTGCACAATGTGCAGGTTAGTTACATATGTATACATGTGCCATGCTGGTGTGCTGCACCCATTAACTCGTCATCTAGCATTAGGTATATCTCCTAATGCTATCCCTCCCCGCTCCCCCCACCCCACTACAGTCCCCAGAGTGTGATGTTCCCCTTCCTGTGTCCATGTGTTCTCATTGTTCAATTCCCACCTATAACAATACCTATTTATTATCTCACAGTTTCTGGAGGTGCGAAGTCCAGGCATGGCTTAGTTGAATTATCTGTTGGAGGTCCGAAGTCCAGGCATGGCTTAGCTGAATTATCTGTTCAGGGTTTCATAAGACTGAAATTGAGGTGTCAACAGGGCTGCCTTATTATCTGGAGCTCATGGTCCTTTTTCAAGCTCACATGGTTTTTTGTATTTAGTTTCTTGTGGTCGTAGGACCAAGGTCCCGTTCCATTGCTGGCTGTGAGCTGGGGGCCACTCTCAGGTCCTGGCATTCACCTTCAGTTCCTTGCCATATGACTTGCCTCCTCCATCAACATGTCCTCTCTCACTTTGAATCTCATTCCTGGTAAAGCCCCATCCCTTTTAGGGTTCTCTTAATTAGATCAGGCTCACCAAGATAATCTCTCTATTTTAAGGTTGGTTGACTTTGGACCTCACTTATATTTGCAAAATCCCTTCACAACAGCAGAACCTTGATTACTGTCCCACTGACTAACTGGGAAGAGGTGTGTGTCTGGCAGGGGACATGGCAATCTTGTGGGCTACGTTAGAATTTGGTCTATCATAATATAACTAAAAATTCCAGGGATCAGGCCGGGCGCCATGGCTCACACCTGTAATCCCGGCACTTTGGGAGGCTGAGGCAGGTGGATCACTTGAGGCCAGGAGTTCAAGACCAGCCTGTCTTGAACATGGCCAACATGGTGAAACCCTGTCTCTACTAAAAATACCAAAAATTAGCCGGGCGTAGTGGCTGGTGCCTGCAGTCCCAGCTACTCAGGAGGCTGAGACAGGAGAATTGCTTGAACCTGGGAGGCAGAGGTTGCAGTGAGCTGAGATTGCGCCATTGCACTCCAGCCTGGGCAACAAGAGCGAAACCTTGTATCAAAAAAAAAAAAAAAAAAAAAAAATAATAATAATAATAATAATTAGCCAGGTGTGGTGGCATATGCCTATAATCCCAGCTACTCGGGAGGCTGAGTCAGGAGTATTGCTTGAACTCGGAGTCAGAGGTTGCAGTGAGTGAGACCGTGCCACTGCTCTGTCTGGGTGATGGAGCAAGACTTCGTCTCAAAAAAAAAAAAAAAAAAAAAAAAATCCAGGGATCCGTCTAACTTCTGGCATGGCTAAATCCAAGGGACTTTACTGTCATCAGGACTCAGATTTTCTGTCTTTCAGCTTTTCTCTGTACTGGGAAGCTTCCTTCTCCAGTGGGCTTTCTGTAAGAGGTGGCTAAAGAAACCAGCTGTTAGTAGCATCATGCTCCCGTGGTCTCACTAGGAAAGAGTGTGTTGCTCCTCTTAGTTCCAGGTAGTCTGAGAGAGGCCTTTGATTGGCTTGCCTTGGGTACATGCCTACCCCTAGGCCAGTCACTGTGGCTGGAGGGTTGTTGTATTACGATTGCCCAGACCTGGGTCATATGTCCATCTTCCAGGCCAATGTGTGAAGTCATCCCAGCCCAGATAACAGCCAAGGGGAGAGATCATTCCAGAAAAGATGCTGTTCAGGCAAAAATGCTAGTCTACTAAATAAAAGGAAAAGAAAATGGAAGGAACTATTACTAGTGAACTGTATCAGACATTGTTAGAGAAGTTAAGAGGAGGACTCAGCAAAGGTCACTGCATTTAGAAGGCAGGAAACCATTCTTGACCTTTGGAGGAGAAGGAAGGTTACTAACACAGAGAAAAGTGGTGGAAATCAAGCTCCAGAGTTTTAAGATGTAGGCGGTGAAATACTGGCATTGAATGTATAGTACAACTGTTTGTTGGTAAACAGAAGAGAGAGGACAGCCATTTGGGACTGTATTAGGGTATGGATAAATTCTTTTAGGAATAGCAGTGACTGAGTATGCTTGGAGTGTGAGAAATTTCCAGTAGAGAGGAAAAAGACTGAAGGGAAGTTGGGAGCAGAGTTGACCCCAGCAGGATCTGGAACCAGTAGGAGGAGAATGGATTCAGACTCCAAGTAGAGAGGCCACACACAGTGTAATAACCTGGGTAATATAGTGTGTGAAGTTTTTTGTTGTTTGGTTTTTGGTTTTTTTTTTTTTTTTTGGTCATTTGTCGCTTCTTTGAAATAGACAGGTATCATTGCTTTCAATGTAGCTATCAAATGGTGATTAAATGTACTCAAAAGATCCTCAGCATCTCTCTGGCCCTGTAATTGACAGAAACATTTAACCTTAGAGAAGTGGTTCTCAAAGTCTGGTCCCTGGACCAGCAGTATCAGCATCACCTGGGAACTTGTCAGAAATACAAATTATCTGACCCCACCCCAAGCCTACTGAATCAGAAATTCTACAGATGGGTCTTAGCATTCTCTGATTTAACAAGACCCTCTAGCCATTTCTATTCGTTTCTTTCCTTTTTTTGAGTCGGAGTCTTGTTCTTTCGCCCAGGCTGGGGTACAGTGGCGTGATCATAGTGCATTGCAGCCTTGAACTCCTGAGCTCAAGCCACCTTCCTGCCTCAGCCTCCCAAAGTGCTGGGATTACAGGTGTGAGCCACTGCACCTGGCCTTCTCCAGCCATTTCTGATGCTGCTTCAAGTTTGAATATCACTGCCTCAGAGGTCTGCATCTCCCCTCCACATGCCATGAAGGTTTCCTTAATAGTGGCTTTGAGAAGCTATGAGAGCTAGTGATGTAAGCTGCTGGTGATGAGGAAATGGGGGAGTTTGTAAATCTTGAAAGGAGATGACAACTGTTCAAATTCCACTAATGACTTAAGATGTAATGGATTGGAAGAACAGAATAGAAAGGCTAAGTTGTAATTTAATTTTTTTTGAGTTTGTGGAGGGCTGACACATGATGATGATAGGCATCATCAGACTTTCAAGTCCCTGGAAGACAGAGAAAGGTGAAATGGGCTTAAAGCATAGCTGTAGACTGGTGATTCTTTTGGAGTAAGGGTTAAGTCCTAGAACAGGTTTTGGATATGGATCATTTAAGTTAAATCCAGGCTCTTCCACTAGATGCTGTTAGGAGGTTGCAAAAGAAGGGCATGGCAAGGTTTCTTTCATCAGAGAGCTTAGAAACTTTTTGAGCCTTCAAGACTTAAATAAATCCAGTGGAGTATAAAAAGACAGTATAACAAAGTGCTGAACTGAAAAGGACCTTGGGTCAGAATGTGTGGTAGAGACTGTAAGTGCTGTGGGCAGTCAGGGGAAGGAGAAATTGGCATTGTGTCATTTTCTCCTCTAGGCAGAGGATGAAACTGACAGCCTGGCGTAATTTCCCAGGTCCGATGGCAAGATATTGGACACCTTGGCTTCAGGAAGTGCTTTTTCTTGTTCTCTCTCTCCTTTCTGAGTGTGTCAAAGTTGCCAGGTCAAAGTGAAGGTTTATACTCTGAGACTTTGAATGTGGAATATTGTTAATATTTTTGTTTGTATAAGAAGCTTGTAGGATAAATTACATTTTATCTTGGACATTTTAAATGGAAAGAGACTCAAATAGAAGTTTGGCATATTTGTTTCAGACAGGCTTTCAGACTTACTCCATTCATGGGGAGAACATGAATGAGCCTGTTGGATGATGCTTTAATGTTGTAGGATGAAGAAAGCAAACTACTGATTTTCCTTAGTGGAAGAATTAAGTTGAGCCAGATGTGGGATGATAGGGAAGAAGAAAACACTTCAGATGAACATGACATTTCCACTGCTTTTAATTTCTTTGCACCTTGCTTGCGGCTCATGTGGGTAAGTAAACAGACCACTGAACCAAGAACCAAGAGAGAAGGTTGACGGAACACTGTTAACGGTGGGCATAAAAGCTGTTTAAGTCCAAGAGAGAAATAGTAAAAATACCGTAATCATCAAGGGGAAGCCAGAAATCTGGTACCTGATCCAAGGTCCTAAAGATGTTTTTCAGAAGTCTACAAGTAATGTGATCTGTTTTCAGTCCTTTTTGGGGGAGGGTTTTCTTAACTTCAGCTGTGGCATGCAGGTGTCAACAAGAGAGCTTCCTTTTACTTCACTGTGATAACGGAGTGACTTGGGGTGCATTAGAGAGCAGGGTCATTATTTGCTGTCACATCAAGAATAATACCTGCATCAGGGGTGTTCCTCTCACCGAAATTAATCACAGAGAAGGTGTGTGTTGCTCTGATGGCCTAGCAGTCAGAAAGATGAATCATCTCTTATTTCAAGGTATGGAGAACAGTTGTGTCACTCATTTCTTTTTCAAGGAGACTCAGTTGAAATGGCAAAATAAAAAAGAGAGAAATAACAGAACACAGTTGTACATCACTAGATCAGTTCGTATAATACAGACTGTTTCCTCTACCTGGAAACCTGATGCCTGGCTAACTTCTGCTCATTTTTGACTTTCCTGTTCGAATGTTAGTTTTGTAAGAGAAGCCTTCCTGAGACCCTCCTTCTAAGTGAGGTACCCCCATCATGACTACAAATCACAATGTTCATTTTTCCTTCATATTGCCTATCCAGTTTTCAAATTTTATGCATCTCCTAAAACTCATATAATTATTTAATTCTGTCCCTCTTGAGGCAGTGAGCTCCTTGGGTGCAGGGTCCTGGGCTATTTTGTTTACCATGTATTCCCCAGTTGAACACAGAGCCTGGTGGATTTAGCAAGTACCAAGTAAAATTGTATCAAGCGAATGATTTAATTAATGAGAAAGCACTTGGTAAACTGTATTCATTATGAAAGTGATGGTTAATTATGTGAGTAGCAGACACCTCCTTTCTCTCTTCTGTCCCAATTTTGTCTCTCCATTTTTTATTAGTTCTTTATTTTGAGATATACTTGTCAGTGTGTTACCAATTCCAAATCTAAGATTTGTTATTATTCATTCTTGCCTTTTTTTAGAGATAAAGGACCACTCTTTTTTGTTTTTTTTCCTCAGAAATGCTATTAATGACACCCACAATGCTAATACTACAACTGTTTTTTCTGTGCATGCTCATGATTTGAAAGGAAAAACATGACTGGCCTTTGTCGATGATGTATTTGGGAAGCAACAAGATTCTAGTGTAGCACTTAAATTCTGTTTCTTGTCATCCTCAAAGCTGCTAATACAAGTTCCTTTGCCTCAAGTGTGCTTCTCAAAAGTATACAAGGCGAAATAAGTTGATAGTATCGTTCCAGGAGAAGCTGTTCCTGGGTCAGCCTTGAAAGGGGGAAAAAAATCAAGAAATCCAGGTGTGGAAAATATTAATGATCAGGATATGAATAAGTCTTTTCATTAAAAGCAACAGCAAATAAACAAAAAGTTATCCAATCCTTTTCCAGCAGGGCCTCGCTGTGCCACTCTGGTGGGTGTAAGTGTTGTCTTCGGTGGGCGGAAATGGCAGACAGCCAAGTGGAAAATTTCACAGTGTCGCAAACATTCAGTGCACGAAACGCTGCAAACCAGCAATCTGAGGGAGCCGTGTACCAAATAACCACGCTCCTGCATGTGCCCTACTGCCCACCTTACACTCTTTCTCCTAGCTTCCTGCGTGATGCCTTCACTTTCTTTTTCCCGGAGATTCCAGATTCTTCGTTTCTGTTCCTATTCTTTCCTGAAACTCAGCACAGTAGGGCATGCAGACGTTTGGATGCTCCCGGGATAGTTGATGATTGGTGCCTTACCAGTGCTGGCTTTTGTATTCTGGCTCCAGAGCTCAGGAACAGGCTTATGACCACCAACAACGCTTTGCATTAACATAGTGGATTTCTTCTCGGGAACTGTGTGTGCTTTGCAAGAATGATCTTCTTGATCTTCTCCATGACCCAGTAAGATATGACAGTGGCAGAAGGTGCTAGTCCTTGCCTCCTTTTGCAGAAGAGTAAAGCCAAGTGGCCTGTTTTGAGGCTTTTGCAAGTTTGCATCTCAGCTAAGATTGTGTCTGAAGTCTCCCAGAAATGGCTTCAACTTTGGGGTGAGGAGAGGCTGGCTGTACCATGTTGTGTTCTTTTTGGGAAAAGAGCAAGAACATTGAACTTCTTTTTTAAGAAAATGGTCTTTGGTGAACTATCAATTCGTCTAATTGGTCGTGAGACTGTATTTGTTCAGATAACAAGTGATTTGATGATGTGTTTACCTTTTTCTTTTTCTTCTGTTCTATTTCCATGCTAGGTATTTCTCACTTCTCTGTGAAAGGAAGAAAGAACACGCCTGAGCCCAAGAGCCCTCAGGAGCCCTCCAGAGCCTGTGGGAAGTCTCCATGGTGAAGTATAGGCTGAGGCTACCTGTGAACAGTACGCAGTGAATGTTGTAAGTTAACAACCAAGAACAATATGTGTAGTGGCTTGCCTTGTAGGATTCATGAATCACTTGATGTAACCGAGCCAGGTGTTGAAGGGGTATTAGCATGAGCTCTAGGTGATCGTCCAATTAATTTCTTTTTTTAATTGGAAGGGAATTTAATTTTTTAAGGGAAGAGGTCCTGTTTGTATTTGCTGGAACTTGCCTTTCTCTCGGCTTCTATGGCATGCTGCAAACTATCTACTTCAGGAATAAAAGGATGGAATACAGTGATTCTTTCATTGTAGGAACACCTTTTCTACTGGTACAGTCAAATAGTATCAGATTTAGAGCAGCCCCTTTAAACTGGGCTGTTGCAGTTCTTTTAGGTTGGTGAGTAGGGGGTAAAATTCTCCAGGCTAAGGATTAGCAATCAGAGTTTCCATCCAGCAATTATTCTTCTGTATGTGCAGTTGATGAAAATGACATTTTTCTCTCTGGCTTGTAAAATCTTGAGGTATGCAAGTTACAAGCAGTTATGTTTGGTGCTTCCCTTACTTAAAATGAGCTGATTTACTGGTTTTGATCAGTTACTGGCTTGGGATTTTGAGATTAGTAAAGTTTGTTCCCACATGTCACCTGATGGCCGCCTTGCATGAGAAGTTTTAGTGTCAGGTAATGGAAGAGATGACATAGTGTGACTTCAGGGAGCCCTTCCACTAGGAAATAATGCAAAGGTGCTCAGCCCTCCTACTTTCTAGAGAATTTACCTTGTTGCTGGACTGTGTCACAAAACACAGTTAGGAGATTTTGACCAGGAAAGAAAATAGCTACATGAAACCCAGGATGGCCTATGAATACCTCTGAGGACGAGAAGATATTATCTTCAAATTTTAGGAAATGACAAGCCAATTTCTTCTAGGTTTTTGTTGTTGTTTTTGTGTATATATAAATACATATATTTCTGTAATATATATGTATACTCTTGTTTATGTATGTGTGTGCGTGTACACACACACACACACACACACACACACACACACACACACACACATATATATTTAGGTTTCCAGCTTCTTAACTCAGCCAGAAAACTTTTTTGAACATGTATTACCTATTTTTTTTGCAGTTGCCTACAAGATTTGTAAAGAGCAAAGTGTAGCATATATCAGGGAGAAAAGTATTGACAAGGAAAAAAAATGTTCCTAATTTTTTTGGTTTCATAGATTTCTAAACATTTGTATTAAAATATGCATATGTATCCATATCATCTCCTCAGGGTTAAATAATCAGTAATATTAATATGAGCTTATTAAATTCAAATTTTCCCAGTGCTTCATTGAAAGCAGACAGTGGGAGACACTGAAGCTTCATTGTGTTTCCATTCTGTACACGTTGGGTCTAGTGGAAATCAGTCAGCCTGGAATCAGCTGACCTGAATCCTATTCCTACTGTTGAGATCAAGTACACTGGCAACCTTGGGCAAGTCGCGAGCCCCCATAAAACAATATTTTGCAAGTCTGTGTATTGCTTCATACTACCTTATTTTCATTTTTTTCTTTTTAATTGAGGTGGTGCCTTACTCTGTCACCCAGGCTGGAGTGCAATGGCAAGATCTCGATTCACTGCAACCTCTGCCTCCCAAGCTCAAGTGACCCTCCCACCTCAGCCTTCAGAGTAGCTGGGACCACAGGTGCACACCACCATGCCTGGCTAATTTTTTGTATTTTTGGTAGAGACAGAGTTTCACCATGTTGCTCAGGCTGGTCTTGAACTACTGAGCTCAAGTGATCCTCCCGCCTCTGCTTCCCAAAATGTTTTGATTACAGGCATGAGCCACCATCCCCAGCCCATACTACCTTTTTATTAAGCAATCAGCATCTTGGTTTAGGGTCCTCATAAGGGGAAGAGCATTGTGAAAGCACTATTTTACTTATTTTTTTAAAAAAAACCTTATTGTAAAAGTTTCTGTCACTATCAAGGAATAATTGTGGGCCATGTTAGATTTGGGTACTCCAGTTACAGTGTGTTTTACTAGAAATCATTTTCCCAATCAGGTAACTGTTAGAATGCACTTCTGGTGGTATTTTTTAAAGCATTTTTATCCTAGGAAACAAGTGTCTTATGTAAAACTGCTTTAGGTTTCAGGCTCTATTTAAATAACTCATGCAGTTACCATAATCAAGATAGCTTTTGTTTCAAATCTAGTGGGGGTTTTTTGTTGTTGTTTTAACCGTTGCTTTGAACTGTTCATGTGACACCCTGTCAGACCTCAAAGATTGAGTGAGGTTTTCAAAGGACTTCTGAAGTGTACACTTTAAGATGCCACATGGCAGACTTGAAGTAATTTTAAAATCCTTCTGTAAATGGAGTGTGTTGAGAGAGCAAGGAAATACCAAATTCTAGTGAACTCTTTGTGCATGCTAAGTACTTTCTTTTCAAAACCGCATTTGCTTGGTAGGGGCAGTGGGGGGTTCCTAGTTTTCTTAGTAAACTGTGATGTTGGTAACCTTTCATTATCTGGGCACATGTTTACAACACTGGTTTTCTGTCTTCCTGGGTTTAGTGTCCTGCATGCCCCAAAGCCTGTGCCATGGAGAACTGTTGCAGTAGAGAAGGCAGGCAATTTTCAAAGAATGCATGTTTGCACATAAACAGGGTCTAGGAGTGGGTGTATAAATGTGTGAGTGATAATCACAGCAGCCATTGGAAGTAGTGGTTCCCATGCTCAGCAGTCCTTGCAGATGTTACTCCTGGCATTCATTCCTGTGCATGTCCCATTAACTGCCTCTCAAATCTGCCACCACTTGCCAGCAGATGGCCTTTGCCCCTGAAGATGTTTCAGACTGGCTGTAAGGGCTGGGGGGAGGGGGGATCTTGTACAAGAAGAGAATGATGCTGACACTGAACTCAGAGTTAGCAGACCTGGATTTTATGCACAATGCTGTTGTTAGCCATATAACCTTGGGTCCTCTCTACCATGGGGACTCATTTTATGATGGACAACTTGAGAAAATTGAGTTAAATCACCTCCAGTGGTGGTTTTTACCCTAAGTGTCTCAAGTTGCATAAAGTATCAGCCTTAGATGAGGCCAATTGAACGTTTATTTTACCTTCTTGGGTTCCTAAAAATCAATGATTTGGCACTACCTCATTTACAACTGTTTTTAAAACATTGAGCACAGTCTTAGGGTTAAAAGAAAAAAAGAGTTATTACATCTTTCACTACCATGAAACCCTTTCCACAAGACCCTCCTGGGCACCATATGACAATTCAAAGGTATTTATTTGAGACTGTCCTTAGACTATAGCTTTAGCTGTTTAAATTTAGGGTCCACACTCATTGGTCCTTTTGAAAATAAACAGGAACGATTTTTGAACTTGAGTTTTCTAAAACCACCTCTGTGCTCAAATATTGGTTAGAGTCTAAGCAAGGAGAAAGTGATCCATATTTCATTCCTAAGCTTCTCTGCTTCCTTAAGTAGGAATTCTTGAGTTACCTTATCAAAGCAGCCTTCCCTGATCTACATAAAATAGCATCCACCCCATCCCTCTCAGTCCTCTAGCCTTCTGTGTTTTTCTTTTAAGCACCTTACATATTATATATTTATTTGTTAATCATCAGTCTCCTCAACTAGTCTGCAAGCTCTGCAAAAGGAGGGATGGTATTCTTATCCTTATTCTCATTCTTATTCTTCCCTGGTGAATGAATAGTACCTAAAATACTGCTTGTTCCCATAATGGGCAGTCAGTAAATATTCATTGAGTGAATGCCTAAATGACATTCACTAAGTGAATGCCTCTCATGTGTGGGCCTGAGCCATTAGGAAAAGGAACATACATGCTGTTCTGATGAGAATGCTTGAATCTGATAGCAGTTTAAGGGTGTGGGGAAGGGATGGAGAGTCTAGACTATTTTCCTTAGAAGTGGATACTTGATGTGTATAAAGAAATGTGAGGAGGGAACAATTTGTGTAAAAAAAAAAAAATTCTAGACCTATCAGTAGAGTTTGGGGATTTTCTAATACTTTTTTTAAAAGTCTGCACTGTCTGTATTTCCTCTCCTTTTCCATTTGAGTGGTTTGCTTTGTCACTTGTTTGTGAGCATCCTGCCCTGGCTTTCTGTGAACGGCGGTGGTTTTGTCTCTTATCATCACATCATTTCATCACTGCTTACGTTCATATTTCTTTTCAAAGTAGGGATGGGCCTGAAGTGCTGTATCTCCCTAGAAAGGGGCTGACTGAATAACACTTCATTCTAGTGCACACCTTAGAATGAAAAAATGGTGTGCTGGTACAAATGAAACCCATTTAATGTCTCTGTGGTGTGTGATGGGAAGTTCACAAAAGCTTTCTTAGGGAGGCATTGTGCTAGTTAGCTTTTGAGGACAGCAATAATAAAGGTTTCTGGAATTTTGTGTGTCTATGGACTCCCTTTTCAGAATAACTGCTCTGAGTGCAGGCATTACTTTATTCCTAGGAAGAAATGGAGAGACTAAAATAAATACCTCTGTACCTGTGTAAACAGCATTATGCTGTCTGTGTAAGTCTTAAAAAATGGGAGCTGAATTTCTCTTACTCTGAATCTCCAGACTAAGAGAATTGCACACACACGCACACTCTAATAAGAGCAATCTGGGAATTTCCCTCTGTGTCTGTCAGTTTGTACCTTTTAGATTTGCCATCTGTGATACCAAATTCTCCAGCGTTACAAAAAAAAAATCTGAAGTAGATAAGAGGGTCAGGAGAGAAGGGGAGATTCCACCACTTTTGGACAAGTGAGGGAGAACAATCTCCTTTTTCTTAAATCCTTGCTTGTAATGCTCCTGCAGATTGACCTACAGATTGTAAAGGCAGAGAGGTTATGACTGAGCTCATTCCATCCAAGTGCACTGGGGATAGCTTCAAGTCTTCTAGAGTTTTCTCTTTCACCCATTTCTCTCTCTTCCTCAGACTTCCTTGAATGGCTTCTGATTGACAGCTTCACTAGTTCCTGGCCATTGCCCCTGGTGTGTTATTTGGGATGGGCACCTTTGGCAGGGTCTTTGCAGGAGTCACTGCTTCTAAGAAGTGGTGTCAGAGCTACCTCCTGAGGCAACTGACAAAGCGTAGCCCATCCCAGGCACACCCTTTCCCCTCAGCACCTTCTTCCTCAAGTACTCAGCTCCTCCTCTCAGCATCTTGGAGAGGAGGAGGAAAATGCAAAGAACACCCAGACGTTGTGGAAGGAAAAAAGTTCATGGATCTTTTACAACATTTGTGTTCTATGGGGTGAAACAACATCAACAGCCTGGTCAGGCTGCTTTGTAACTGAATAGTGCCAAGGTAAAATGCTTTTGTGTCCTCTTTAAGTTTAGAGTTCACTCAATTACATGATATTTATTAAAAGAGTGTTGTGTGCCAGGATGTTCTTGAGTCTATCAGGGATCCAGGGCTGAGTAATCTGTACTTACTGCCCTTTGAGACTCTAGGAAGGTGCTATGGGAAGGATGTACTTGGTGGCGGAGTCAGGTGTACCGAAAGGGACGATGGGTAAGAGTTGTCAGCGCTGGAATTTCAGGGAAGACATCTAAATTGAGCCTTCAAGCAGAGGTGGAATTTCAACCCAATATATATGTGTATTTAGAGAAGACAAAGGATGCTTTGAGAAGAGACTAGGAATAGTATTTTATGTACTACTTCTGTGTCTGGGCATGTGAGAGCTCAGAGCCAGAGCTTTCCTTCCATCAGAAATTGTTTGGTTTGAACACTGACAAAAACATAGCATGAGGATTTGTAGCACATGGCCACCAGGCCACCATTTTCTTCAGGATCATTTTAGATATTTTTTTTTTTTTTTTTTTTTTTGCAGATGAAGTCTCTTGCTGTGTTGCCCAGGCTGGAGGGCAGTGGCACGATCTTAACTCACTGCAACCTCCACCTTCTGGGTTCAAGCGATTCTCCTGCCTCAGCCTCCCAAGTAGCTGGGATTACAGGTGTGCCTCACAATGCCCGGCTAATTTTTGTATTTTTTGTAGAGACAAGGTTTCACCATGTTGGCCAGGCTGATCTCAAACTCTTGAGCTCAAGTGATCTGCCCACCTCGGCTTCCCAAAATGCTGGGATTATAGGCATCAGCCACTACGCCTGGCACATTTTGGATCTTTATATGTAAAAGTTGAAGCAAGAACTTGGGATGCCTAAAGAATGATGCCTCCCAGCATTAGTAAGGGCAGTGTTTCCAACTGAACTTTGTACAGAAAAACCCAAACAAAACTAAAGATGTATTTTTTAGGTGGTATAAATTCGAAGTGCTCAATGTTCAAGAATCCACAATAAAGAAGGGCAGGGATGACTGAATAGTGATAAGAACTAGTTGACATTGTTTAGTCATAGAACCCAAACAAAATCTATTGGTTCTTAACAACACATAAATTACTCCTTAGGACTAATGTAAACAGACAAATAGAAAGGTAACTTCATTTTTTAATTATCTAAATTTTTCACTTTTGTAAAAGAATCATATTATACCATAAAAATATTAACCATGTCTCCAACTTAAATTCATGTTAAATTTCCAGTGGTAGCTATGTAATAAATTATTGCTAAGTAGAATTGTAGACTGAAAGAATTAATCCATCTTCTATAAATCCTGAAGATTATGTTAACCTTTTCCAGACACCTAAACAAGTATGTTACATGATTCAGAAAAAGTCATTTTTGACAAGTATAAAATGATTTTGAGGTGTGATAGCAAATTAGCTGTTTCAAACCTATGTTAGAGAAATTAAGTTTTCAGAGCAATTTTTTTTTGTATTTGTGCTTATATTCCTGAAACAACTTGCTTAAGGAGAGTCTCCTTAAATGGAAACATAAATGGTATACAAATGGCTATCCTCTATCATAATCTTTTATTTCCAAAACTCAGACAGGTTTTTATCATCATGCTCTTTGGACTCTTAACCATCTTCTTCTACTTTTAAATTCTACTTCTTTCTCAATACATTTTTAAACAGCATCTTGTGATCATTTCCCAGTCTTGAGTGCCTGGCACTGGGAGGTGACCTGCCCACATTGCTGTCAGAATTCGCTGCTGGACCCCTGCACAGGTCCCAGGCTGTTGGTTACGTGTTTCAATCTGCACATCAGCCATCCTCACCAGCCTTCCTTTGTGCATCTGGAAATAAAAATGCTCTTGATAAAATGGTTTTCTAAAGTTTCCATTAGGTTGCTCTTCATTTCATTTTTCCTTTCTTCTTCCCAAGCCTTTGTGGCTTGCATAGAATTGAAAAAAAAAATGTAATTTCTCCAGGGCTAAAATCCAAGACTTTGATAGGCAGTCTTAATGCATGGGGCTCCTACGAGTTGCTACCCGTTATAAGCATTGTAAAACTCACCCTGCAGAACAAAGAGAACTGGGCACAAAGATTATTCTCTTCTTCAACCATGGCAAGCCCTAGTTTTCCGGTTTCCTTTGCCTTTTCCTTCTTTGATCTCTAAAAGAAGGTAGAAGAGTAGAACGCTATTGTTCAGAAAGGAGAAAGCTATTGCTTGTCCAAACAGATTGTTTTTTCCTTCTGTTTGGCAACCTCAATGGCTCTACCTGTTTCTGGCTGTCATACTTCGGCTTGTGAACAGCCTTCCTCCCTAATTTTCAGGAAACTAACAAATTAAAGGTGCAAATGTCAGGTGGTTACTACATATCTACTGGCTCACATAATTCAAAACAGAGTCATGCAGCTCCTATCTAAAGCTAGTTCCTTGCCCCTTCTCAGTCACTACCACATCAAGCACAAATGTAGATGAAAGGGTAGTGTGTCAAGGTGAGAGCTGCCCACTGGGTAGTGTTACTCGGTCACTTGCTATAGGGGACAGATTAGCTGCCAATCAGTATCTCATCACTGTCATTGGCGTTTATAATCCAGGTTCCTAGCCCCACTGGTGATCTATTTCTGTGCCTCCGCAGTGACGCCAGTTGTCCTAGCAACGTGCTGGCTGGCACTTCGTTAAAGGCAAGTAAGGGAGTGGTGGTGGAAGAGGGTGGCCTCGAGAGGGTCAGAAGGGAGTTGGCAGTCACCTTGCTCAAAGAGGATTTTCCATTTCCCTCATCTGGGCAGGCCTCCAGGAGGAAAACGTCACTTACTAAGTGTATCATGGGAGTGTCACTTACTAAGGATCATGGACCACATGGTCTTTCTGGTACAGATAGAATCCCACGGAGAATAACAAATGAATTAATGGGTAGTCCAGGCAGAATGTGGGGACTGCCGGGCCAAGATGTTAGGCGATCTCAAAGCATCTGATGGTATCAGTTTTTCTTGTGAATTAGGTTAATGTTTTGCTTGTTTATCAGCACTGGCATGCAGAGTTGGAGACATGAGTAGATGTTTGGGAGGAATCAGAGGTCAAGGGAGGCAGAAGGAAGGGAAACACCATGACAGTCCCTCTTGGCCCCTTTTCCTGTTGACAGGTCTGGCCTGAAAGCCATCCAGTGTAACGAGAGCCTTCTTACTGAGCTCTGGTAATTTATCCATGCACCCAGCCTTGAAGAGGAATATGGCTCACTTTGTAATCTTCTTAATTGCTCTCCTCTCATTATGCCACATTGAATTGGCACTAAATGACTTTTTCTGCCATTTTCCGATTTGGATCCAAAGAACATAGAAATACTGTGGATTGTATCTTAAAGTCCCTGTCCAAAGTGGCCTTGCCTAGATGAAATCTAAAATGGACAGTCAAGTGACATTGGCAGAGCTGGGGGCTTCCCTCCATGGCCACTTCTCTGTGGAAGCCCCTAGGCAATGGGTTTGGGTGACATTTTCTCCTGAGAGTGCTTCGTCTGTGTGGCCCTGGAGATGCCAAGACATTTTTCACGAAGAAAGAGACTCAAGGTGGGTCTTTGCAAGGAAATGGGGAACAAGGGAGACTGATGAAAGGGTGTCCCCAGAGCATTGAAGACCCACAGATGACAGGAAGTATGACGTATGCATTGTTGCCTTTCCCTTCACGACTAAAAGAGTTTTTGTAGTCTCAATGACCGTTGTCATTTGTTCCACTGAATGACCACACTCAAGTCGAGATAATTGCATGAAACTGTGTGCTTATGATGGGAAAGACATTTAGGGTGTAACTGACCATTTCTAGCACGTTTTGTATACTCAACAGAAGGTATATTCACTCCTTCTACCATAGCTGAAATAAGGGCTGGTAGTGAAGATCTGGGACTGGAATTGAAAGAAATAATTTTTGGAAAAAGAAAAACTCCAAGGGTAGCTGTTGGCACTTTCAGAGCATCCCATATTTTCAGGATGTTTTGTATGAGATAAAGTAAATCAGTTTTGTTTGACAGGGTGTAGTGTGCCCAGCCAGGTCATTATTTTAAATTGACAAAATGATTTAAATGATAGAAGACATTGTATATTCCTGAAACAATAAATACCTATTAAGTACATTTTGATACAGTGGAGAAGTACAGTTTTTGTTTTTTGTTTTTTTTTTTGGATTATTATATAACTGTTAATTCAACACTTAGTGTTTAAATACTCATCATTCTTTATAGTGCACAGGTCATAAAGATAGTTCTCTCATATGAATAAGAAATACAACTAATGTGAATGGCATTAAAGTTAGAAGCTTCAAATTCTTCTCTGGGTTTGATGGTTGCTTTTTTAGAAGAAATTTGGTAAAGTAGATGATAGACCAGTTAGGTTTCATGAACTTCGTGCTTCATATTCTTTTCTTTTCACAACCTAGCTAGATACACAGTAAATAACTGGAAGCATACTAGAGTAGAAAGAACCCTTCTTCCTGAATAAGTTGTCGTTGATCACAGGGGTAGGCGTTAATCAAAATATTAATGACTAGGCCAGGCACAGTAATTCCAGCACTTTGGGAAGCCAAGGCGGGTGGATCACCTGAGGTCAGGAGTTCAAGACCAGCCTGGCCAACATGGTGAAACCTTATCTCTACTAAAAATATATATAAAATTAGCTGGGCATGGTGGTGCATGCCTGTAGTCCCAGCTACTCGGGAGGCTGAGGCAGGAGAATCACTTGGACCCGGGAGGTGGAGGTTGCAGTGAGCCAAGATCATGCCACTGCACTCCAGTCTGGGTAACAGAGTGAGACTCCATCTCAAAAAAAAAAAAAAAAGTAATGACTAAGGAGAAGATAGGGACACCTTGGGCTCTGTCCAGTAGCAGGAACCTCAGGCTAAGAAGGGACACCTGGGTTCTCTTCCCATCCCTGCCCTTTTAGACCAGTGGCAAGCTACTCTCTATCTGGGTGCCTCTATTTCCTTATCTTCCAAAGGAAGATCATTATCACTGCCACTTAACAGCATCAGATTTAAAGTATTAGTTCATATAAGAGACTCTTTGAATCACATTTGGGTTCAGATTTCAGACCTGCCACCCAGTAGCTGTGTGTCCTTTGGGAAATTGCCCAACTTCTCTGAGCCTTATTTACTTCATCTATAAAGAAGGTCTGACCACACCTACCCTGATGACCTGTTAAGAGAGTTAAATGCGATAAAGTCTGTTAAGTTTTTAGCCCAGTGATTGCTCCCTAATAACTGTGGCAGCCATGATGCTGTTATGATAAATTTCACACAACAAAATCTATCATGATGCGTTGCTGAAGTGAACAGGTGAGCAGTTGCAACTTGCTCATCTCTTTGTTGTAGAGACATTTCTGCTATAATAGGAGTTGTCATTAACTGTCATTGTCATTACACTGACAGTGAATTCGGTTATGTATTGTTAAGACCTTCTGCTTCCTTGACATGTATATAGTAGAATAATTATGACAGTGAAGGTGACACATTTGTCAGAATTATCCATGTGCATATGCTGAGGGCCCTTGGAATTTTAGGTGAATTTTATAGTATTAGTCAAACTGAAAGGCACAGTGAGTTTGGAAACTATAATAGTCTCATCTATAAAAGGAGTAGGGAGATTCCCAAAGGCTGTTGATATGAGTAGAACTCTGAAAAAGTAAAACATTAAAATACATTTTGATGTGGTTACCGTGTCTAGGTGGTGATAGGTAAAAACAGTCTAGTCTAATTCTTTGAAATTTAGGATAGAAGAAAGCCTGAAGATGGATATCTACATTCTTGTATCTTCTTTCAGCAAATATTTACAGAAAGAGAGAGAGAGTGTGTGTGTGTGTGTGTGTGTGTGTGTGTATGCACACACATATGCTACAGGCTAGGCACCTACAGTAGTTAAAGGAGCTTTCAGTCACTGGGGAAAGAAATGAGAAAACAGGCAATTCCTTTACACCATGACCAGCTCTCTCCTAATGGTACCCACAGGTTGCCATGGATGCAGACCAGCATGGCATCTTCTGGGATCAGGGAAGCTTTCATCCTCAGACTTGAATGAGGAGTAGATGTTAACCAGAAAACAAAGTGGATGTATCAGTTAGCATATACTGTGTAACAAGCCATCCCAACAGTTAAGGGCCAAGACCACAATCTTATGATTGTGGGTCACCTGGACTATTTTAGTCTGGGCCAGCTTGGCTGGGACTGGTTAATCCAGCATGGTCTCACTCACATAGCTACTAGAAGGCTGGTTTGCCTGAGAGATGGGTGATCTTCAGCTGGGACAGCTTGTCTCTGCTTCAGGTGGCCTCTCATCCTCCAGTAGACTAGTCTGAGCTTCTTCACTTTGCAGGCTAAGGGTTCCCAAAAGCAGCAAGAAAGGGCAAGCCCCAGTGCATGAGTGCTTTTCAAGCTCTGCTTCAAGATGCTTGCTAATTTCCCTTTAACCAAAGCAAATTACTTAATTTGTTCAGTTCAAAGGATGGGGAAACTCCAGCTCTAGTCACATGAGGACAACATGAGCAAAGCTCAAAGGTAAGAGAGAACATGGCATGTTGGAAGACAGCAAGTAGTTTGGAGTGGCTGGAGTCAGGCATATGTGAAGTCTCATGAAGAAAAAGCCAGATCATAAAGTGTCTTTTCAGTAAGTTCTGCTGAGGAGTTTAGAGTTTATCTTGAAGACAGGGGAGTGGTCATTGAAAGAGTTTAAGCAGGATGTTGACATGATCAATGAGATGTGTAGAGACATGGTTAGGTGGTAGAAGCCTAAAAACACTCGTTAGCCTAGACAATTCAGGAAGTTTCCAAAGAGATGACCCAGGGATAGCATAGGAGAAGATGGAAGGACTTGACTGAGAGGTGGCTCAAAGCTGACGTGTACTTTCAGAACAATGTGACCAGAAAAGAGGTTGGAGGCCCTTCAAGGTAGAGCAGAAAAGACAGAGGCTCAGGTCATCAGCAATATCCGTATGAATCTGGTGGGAGAACTCCACCAGTGTTCCTCACCTCGCTCCTTTGTGGGATCCTGCCAGACTCCAATGTCCTTGGGTTCTAAATAAACACCTACCAAGGGGCTGAGTCAAAGAGATTCCAGTCTCTGGAAGTGTCTTCTTGTCATTGTCATCACCCAGCCAAAGACTCTTTTCCTTCCAACATGTTTTTCCCTTTGACCTCAAAATAAACAATGTGTTCTAAAGGCTCTGGGGCACTCTCAAAATGCTTCTCTGACCTCGGATAGGACCATGCTTACCCATTAATTTCCAGATCTGACCTTTTCACTACACCTTTAAGCATAACTCTTTCAAAAGGCAAAAATAGAAATGACTGTTTCATTTCACCAAATTCAAGTCGCCAAGAGTGAGAACGTGTGGTTTTCACCGGTACGTTTGGGGACCAGTTTGTTGTCACTGAAACTGCCTGATATCGGGTCGGAGTGGCTGGGTATTTTTCAGTCCTTGGGGTTATAACTCAAATGTTGGAAGTGGTATCTTTTATAGGTAAAATTGAGGGAGGGGAGCATCAAAATGTGTGCGATGCAGATAATAATTTGCCAAGTTTTCTAATTTTTTTCATTAAAAAAGAACATACAGAAGAGTCTACAAGTAGGGCAGGCAGCCTTCATTCCTATGCTCTTTTCCTTGAGGGACACCTTCCCTAACCAAATAATTGAAAATAAATGGGAATTGTGGGAACAGAGGAAGACAAGAAGGAAAACTAAAAACCCAGGACCTAATCTTCCAGGGGCAGGCAGGCCACTTTTGTAGCTCAGATTCTGACCTTTTCTCCAATCAAAGAGTTCGAACAGACTGACTGATTGGAGTGCTCTGTCAGCATTAAACTCAATGCAGGGTTCTGCTCTGGCACCTTTAGGGGTGGTGGTTTAGACCCTCTGCGTGCCATGTCTTATCACCAGCACTGCTAACTGAATGGGATGCATTTTCAAAGACAGGAGAGGGTTTGAAAAACCCCAGGGCATGCTCGGAGCCTGCAGGCATTTGTTTGCTGCTGAGAACCATGGCAAGCATTTTTGACATTTTTATCAGAGTCTTAGTTAAACAATTATGTGGAGGACTGATAAAGAAGTGTGTGATAGGAGACTTCATAATTTAAAGTGCCCAAATTTGGTGAGCTTTATACTCATGTGAAATGGAAATGAAAACATGGCATGTTTTGGAATTCCTGATTCTGCTTATTTGCTTTAATAGCAGATCATTGCATAAACACTGACTCATTGCATTCTATACTGAAAGGAAGATATGGTTTGCTGTGTTCAATCTGGTCTGGCTTCCAGAACACAGTATAGAACAAGTGCCAGAAGAAGGGATGAGCTCAGCTTTATAGGTGACTGGAGAGATACCCAATTCCATGTTTTGTGCTGTACAAACACATGACCTTACATGAAGTTTTGCATAAAATATTGAAACAATACATTTCTCTTTATAAATATGTATGTAATCTGTTCTAGAGTGTATGGAGTAGACAGTAAAAAAAAATAGAATCTTCTTATTTTTGGAAGTGGGGTGAAGACGCAGGTGTGCATATGCTGCCACCTGCGTGTTATTTCACTGAGTTTTGTCAGGTTCTTTTCTTACTCATCTGCACTTTGTATGTTACCTTAAGCGCTGTAACCATTCTAAGCTGCCAGGGACATGGGTATGCAATCAAAGTCAACACTGTGATTAAAACCACCTCCTGTTGTTTACCTTTTTAGAAATTTTAATAATACAGTCAAGTCTGAAAGAGCAGAACTTTTCTCAAAGCTACACACTTGGTTGCCTCTTCTTGATTAATGCATGGGGGTGGTCACTGTAACCTAAGGTCTGACAGATGGTGCGGAGATTGATGAAGTTAAGGCCTGTTAGGTATTCCGAGTGTCTTATAAAGAAAAATAGGCTACCTTAATTCAAATTGTTGTTGCTCTTCCAACCTTCTCTTATGTAAACTCCCTGTATATTACAATGACAGACTCTCTCTCTTTCTGTCTCACACACACACACACACACACACGCATGCATGCACACATACGCACACTCCTGACATGCTCTACTGAAAGCTGCCCAGCTACAGAGAGGTGCGAATCTAATCCAGGGCACATGGCTGCTTTGCATTTCACTGGCTGTCTAGTGTCACTCTATGATATAGGCATAAGGTCATGACTGTGAGCTATCATTGTCACTTATCTTAATATTAAAACCCCTCTGATCCAATCTGTCTGCCTTATCTATTACATCATTCACATATCTAGATTCTTCAAACTTAACTACTCATTGCAGCAAACTCAGGAATGCCGAGCTCTAAGGCATCTCCATTTACTTCGTTCATCTCAATCTCAAATTACTAACCATAGTTCAGTTTCAGGATGACACTGAAAATTCAAAATTACTTCCTGTGATTAACTTACATTGTGATGGTTGGGAATTATTTCGCAGAAGACCTGTTCATCTTCTGATGAAGCCCTTTTCAAGTTTTGAATTGTGTGTGTGTGTGTGTGTGTGTGTGTGTGTTTTAATTGCCAGAAGTCTTTCAGATAGCAGGGAGATTATTGGAATGAGAAAGCAAAGCTTGTATGAAAACTTGTGGCAAAAGGTCATCTGTGCTGTGGGGGAAATTTCAAAGTAGGCGCAGTTTGTTTCCAGTGGTTCCTGCCTGTCCTTTCAGTGGCTGGTCACTCTCTGTTCCCTTTCCAGACGAATCTTTCCCCTCTTCCAAATGCCTCACATCAGTCTAGGTACCTTGGTTGGCCTGTGGAGAAAAACAGTCTTGTTGAGACACTCACATTAAGCTGATAGAGACCTTGGCTAGGATAATTGCATTTTTCAAAGGCTAAGGGTTGGAAGGATTTAATTTTTCTCTTAATTATTTTTTATAGAGATGAAGTCTCACTATGTTGCCCAGGCTGGACTCACACTCCCTGGCCTCAAGTGATCCTCCTGTCTTGACCTCCCAAAGTGCTGAAATTACAAGCATGGCCTGAATTTTTTTAATGGTGATTTCAGCTGATCCCAGGGGAGATCTTTTGGGTGTCATTTTTCAAACAGATTAGGAAGCAAGCAGCTGTCTACCTAATCAGTCTAAACTACCCATTCTGACTTCTGTCCAATAACTTTCCATATAAAATAGCTAACATAATAATAATCAGATAACTTTGCATGTAAGTTTCAAAGCTATGGTATAGTTCACCAACATAATTTTCCAGTTTTTTTTATTATAGTAAAGTACACATAACATAAAATTTACTGTCTTAGCCATTTTTAAGTGTATAGTTGTACATTCATATTGATGTGAAGCCATCTCCATTGTCTTGTCTTCACACCTCTTTTTTTCTGGCAAAACTGAATCTAGACCCATAAAATACTAATGCTCTACCCTCCACCCTAGCCCCCGGCAGCCACCATTCTACTTGCTGTCTATTATTTTGACTACTGTAAGTGGCTCATATAAGTGGAATCATGTAGTATTTGTCCTTTTGTGCCTGGCTCATTTCACTGAGCATAATGTCCTTCAGGTCTGTCTGTGCTATAGCATGTCAGAATTTCCTTCCTTTTTAGACTGAATAATATTCTGTTGTATGTGTAGACCACATTTAGCTTATCCTTCATCTATCAGTGGGCACTTGGGTTGCTTCCACCTTTAGTTTATTGTTAATAATGCTGCTATGGATATGAGTGTGCAAATATCTCTTTGAAACTCTTTGAAACCATTCATCAACTCTCTCTTTTTCTTTTTTTTTTTTTTGAGACAGAGTTTTGCTCTTGTTGCCCAGGCTGGAGTGCAGTGGTGTGATCTCGGCTCAAAACCTCTGCCTCCCAGGTTCAAGCAATTCTGTTGCCTCAGCCTCCCAAGTAGCTGGGATTACAGGTGCCCGCCACCACACCAGGCTAATTTTGTATTTTTAGTAGGGTCAGGGTTTTGCCATGTTGGTCAGGCTGGTCTCAAATTCCTGACCTCAGGTGATCTGCCTGCCTCGGCCTCCCAAAGCACTGGGATTACAGGCATGAGCCACCGCACCCAGTCTTCACCAACTCTCTTTCACGTCTTTATTAGATACAAGTGTTTGAAGAAGCCTTGCATCTACCCACTTTGAACCTTTTTTCATGATAGAACTGTAGGTAGACTTTCTGCCTAGTAGTGTTATTTGAAGCATCCTTTCTGCTGACCTCTTTCCTGAGGCCTGAAATGCTACTAATAGTAGTTCAGTCCTCAAGTATCAAGCAAAGCCATCAGCTAGTTTTCTATTAAAATGCAAATGATCCTGGGGCAGAGGCCACAGATAAGATATTAGCACCTTGGTGTGAATTTGTTTAATTAGATCCTATCTTAGAAGCTTTCTTTAACCCCTTGCCTAGTTCTTCACTAATTGCTCCCTGATAAGGTCTTGCATTATTACTGCAAGTATCACACTGTATTAAACTTATTTATATTTTTGCTTCTCCTGATAGAATAGAAGCTTCTTAAGGGCAAGACTCTTGTATAATTGCTGTTGGTTTTTCAGGCCCTAATAGAATGTCACAGACAACTTTCAATAAGCTACTCACTCATTCTTTCATGCATTCATTCATTCATTTCACTCATTTATTCATCAAGCATTTATTGGGTGCCCACGGTGTAAGTGCATTTTAAAACTCTGCCTTTCTAGAAGGTTTGGACAGCCAAGGGCCAGCTCTGTTGCACAGTTTTGGCAGATTTTAGAAACCTTAAAATCTAACTTCCTGTATTTTTAGGTGCAGGGACTTGGTCCAGATGAGTGGATCAACCTCTGAAATAGTTTTCTATCACAGTCCTACCTTTTTTTTTTTTCTGCTTCTATTCAGAAGAAGCATCGATCTAAGTAAGTTTGTGTTCTGTTCAAAAGTAAGGTGATGTTTCAATGTATATTCTCAAGCATCTGAAAACTTCTCTAGTTGCTCTAAATCTCAATATTTCCAATATCAGCCATGTACAGTTTTTAAATGCTTGCATTCTCTTAGGACATTGTTAACAATCTGCTTAGAAAGGGGAGTGACTTTTGCCTCTTTTGGCTAATTTGCTTTGCATTGATTTGTAACTGTGTACTTCAGTATATACCAGCAACTCCTAGCCCAGGGATAGCATATACTCGCTTACTGGTTCCAGTGACTGTTCATTCATCCCACAGTGGCTTCCCTGGAAACAAGTTACTCTGATAACAATTTGATGGTACTTCCCTTTATAAGGTAATAACCAGTCCGGGCCAGGCATGGTGGCTCACGCCTGTAATCCCAGCACTTTAGGAGGCCGAGGCGGGCAGATCACGATGTCAGGAAATCAAGACCATCCTGACTAACACAGTGAAACCCCGTCTCTACTAAAAATACAAAAACCAAATTAGCCACGCGTGGTGGCATGCGCCTGTAGTCCCAGCTACTCAGGAGGCTGAGGCGGGAGAATGGCGTGAACCTGGGAAGTGGAGCTTGCAGTGAGCCAAGATCGTGCCACTGCACTCCAGCCTGGGCGACAGAGTGAGACTCCGTCTCAAAATAAAATAAAATAAAAATAAAAATAATAATAAAAACCAGTCCTAAACCAAATTCTTACTTTAGTCTCTAGCCTCAGAGTTTATTAGTTCTTAGTAATGTTACTATGAAGGCAAATAGGAGACAAATTATTATTCTGGTTTTTATTGTTACTGCCACTGCAATTCCTATGATTATTGCTATAATTCCCTATTTAATAGGTAAACAAGTTACAACATATTCGATGGTCACTAGATAGAAATAGAAATGGAATGTCTTTACCAAGAGAATATCCGTGTTTTACAGAGAACAGGAAACAAGTACTAAATGGAATCTTCAGACAATCTTTTGGTCTTCTTGTAGGCAGTGGTTCAGCTTTTTTACCTACTAAAATTTTGGACAGGGTTGTTAACAGGCAATACAGTTTAAAATGAACTGTTTTAAGTTTTCCTTTCTGACTTTTTCATACTCCTACATTAATGCAATAGGATTGAAGGCTACAACAATGATAATTGCAATATGCTGAAATAATGAACTACAGTAAATAGCTATAGTGAATGTATGCCCATAGAAAAGAATGGAAAACAAATGGCTTTTGATTAAAGGTACTTATTGTAACAGATTTCAAGGTGAAATTGTTAGTTCAGAAAAGATGGTAGATAGAGTCTTTAAAAATACTGTCACTGGGATGCGTGTTCTTCTATAATGCTCCCTCCATCCCCCACCCGAAGAAACACACACTCCTCCCTCCTCTGCATGTAAAGCAGTAGTTTTGACAAATAAAACCAAACAGTAAAACCTGACACTGGTGATTGGACCGTGCGTCCCTCTGGTTTGTGGATGAGGAGCATATCTCCGTGATAGAATAACCACGCTTCATGCTAACTCCCGGCCACATCGCTGCATCCTCTTCATACATAATTTGCATCATGGGGTGTTTCTGCATATGTTGTGCATTTTGATGTTATTTTTAGCTACAATTTTTAAAACAATAACATTTTTTTAAATAGACTAATCAAGAAAGCGCCTCCAGAGTCAAGAAAACAAGTGCTGGGGATGTGTGGGTGGGGGTCTGTCTCCCCGCCCAGGGCATTTCCCTTTGCTGCTGTTGTTACTACTCCTTCCATTACTTTTTGTGACTTTAGCTTTTTGAAATTTCCATTCCTTTGTTTTCCCTTGTGCATCAGGATGTGGCTGTTGAAGTCATTTATGTTATGCGAGGCTGCACCACAGTCATTTAATGCAAACACTGGCTTTTGTGTAAGGCACTGACTATTCTACCCTCAGCGAGGAAGACGTTATTGGAAACTTGAGTTATGAGATGGAAAGAACATTAATCCTTTCATTGAAAACATTAGTCTTTTACATGGATTCTCTGTAATAGCTTGAAGAGAAATTAAGGAAATACAAACTAGTAATATTAAAAATCTGCCATGTCATTATTATCTACCTGCCCATAGATGTTCACCACCGTTAGCATTTGAGTGTGTTTTCTTCCAGAAGATTTTCTATGGATATATATATATACAAATAAATACATGTAGCTTTACAGAAATAGAATCGTGCTTGATCTACTTTTCCGAAATTTCTTCTCTCACATTGCAAAAGTTGTGAATGTCTTTCCATCTGAATTATTACAGATTTTCAAAATATTTTTCTGGCTACTGACTTTTCCAGTATATGAATGTAAGAGTGAAAGTTCTTCGATTTCACCAGTTGGATATGCCCCCTTTTCTCTTTTCTGCCAATATCAATTGTACTGCCCTCTTGCGCTATCCTAAATATGATCAGATGAGAATTCTGAAAGAGAAGAAATCTAGGAACCCTACTTGATAGAGAGTTATCCTCTTGGGTTCCCTCCTGACATTTAGGCCTTTTTTTTTTTTTTTTTTTTTTTTTTTTTTTTTGAGATGGGGTCTGACTCTGTCACCCAGACTGGAGTGCAGTGGCGCAATCTCGGCTCACTGCAATCTCTGCCCCCGCCTGGGTACAAGCGATTCTCCTGCCTCAGCCTCCCTAGTAGCTGGGATTACAGGCACCTGCCACTGCGCCCAGCTAATTTTTGTATTTTTAGTAGAGATGGGGTTTCACTGTGTTAGCCAGGATGTTCTCGATCTCCTGACCTTGTGGTCCACCCGCCTTGGCCTCCCAAAGTGCTGGGATTACAGGCATGAGCCACCGCGCCTGGCCACATTTAGTACTTTTAAGAAGTTATTCCTCTTCCATCTCAGCTTCCTGGACACAGTTCGCTATGACTTTTCTTGGAAATTATGCATTCCCTTAGAATCCTTGTATTTTCTGTTTACTTTCCCTCAAAGCAAGGACTCATGACCTCACCTGTAGTGGGCCTCCCCATCTCTCATGTCTTTATGTGGCCCGGACTTAGCAGAGACACCTCTTGGTACATCATTTTGATTGCATCATGAGCTTTCCCAGAGTCTGGAGTGACTCTGTCTTTCAGATTTCATTTTAACCTCCTAATCACAGGCTATCTTTGATGCACCTATCTTTACCTCCAGTTCTTCTGCTAAAGAACTGGAGGCTTGTGGCTCTTGTCTTCCGGTCAAACATGATGCTCTGCTGACTACTCTTCCCCATGCATTCATCCCACCCCAGACCCTGCCCTTGCCCTCATCCCCATCTGAATCATTGCATCCTCCTAGTTCTTGGCCAAAAAACTGGCTCTCCTCTAGCCCTTCAAACCTTGCCTGGGAGTCATCTTTATGGCACCTTCCCTGATTTTTTGTTTTGTTTTGTTTTGTTTTTGGAAATGGAATTTCACTCTTGTCACCCAGGCTGGAGTGCAGTGGCACGATCTTGGCTCACGGCAACCTCCGTCTCCTGGGTTCAAGCAATTCTCCTGCCTCAGCCTCCCAAGTAGCTGGGACTACAGACACCTGCCACCATGCCCAGCTAATTTTTCTATTTTTAGTAGAGACGGGGTTTCACCATGTTGGCCAGGCTGGTCTCCTGCCCTTTGGTGATCAACCTGCCTTGGCCTCCCAAAGTGCTGGGATTACAGGCATCAGCTACCACACCCAGCCGTTGCACCTTGCCTGATTAATTCCACTTGGCTCTAGCTAGTATCTGGAAGGACACCTGGGAGGAACACTTCAAACAGCTGTCAGTGCAGTGTTGTTGTTGTTTTTGTTTTTTAATTAATAGGCTTTTTTATAGAACAGTTTTAGGTTTACAGAAAAATTGATTTGAAAGTACAAAGAGTTCCTATATTCCTAGCCTCCCCGACCCCTGACAAACAGTGTCCCTACTGCTAACATCTTGCATCTTACATTTGTTGAAATTGAACTAATATGGATACATTATTATTAACTAAAGTCTATAGTTCATGTTAGAGTTCATTCTTCCTGTTGTACATTCTGTGTTTGACAAATAGATGACATGTGTCCTAACAACTCTTTGTGCTCTGCTTATTTGTTCCTCCCAATCCCCAAAACCCCTGATTTTTTTTTTTTTTTTTACTATCCCTGTAGCTTTGCCTTTTCCAAAATGTCATAAAGTTGGAATCATACAGTATGTACCCTTTTCACATTGGCTTCTTTCATGTGGCAATATGCGTGTAAGTTTCCTCTATGTCTTTTTGTGTCTGGAGTTGGTTCCTACCGGTGGGTTTATGGTCTCGCTGACTTCAAGAATGGAGCTGCGGACCTTCATGGTGAGTGTTACAGCTCTTAAAGATGGCATGGACCCAAAGAGTGAGCAGTAGCAAGGTTTATTGTGAAGAGCAAAAGGACAAAGCTTCCACAGCGTGGAAGGGGACCCAAGTGGGTTGCTGCTGCTGGCTGTGGTGGCCAGCTTTTATTCCCTTATTTGTCCCTGCCCATGTTCCATTTCTGTTCTGTCAGAGTGCCCTTTTTTTCAATCCTCCCTGCGATTGGCTACCTTTAGAATCCTGCTGATTGATGCATTTTACAGAGCACTAATTGGTGCGTTTTACAGAGCACTTATTGGTGCATTTTACAAAGTGCTGATTGGTGCATTTTACGAACCTCTTGTAAGACAGGAAAGTTCCTGATTGGTGCATTTTACATCCTCTTGTAAGACAGGAAAGTTCCTCAAGTCCCTACTTGACCCAGGAAGTCCAGCTGGCCTCACCTCTCAATCCCCCCTCTAAACAGG
This sequence comes from Homo sapiens, assembly GCF_000001405.40. Lineage (NCBI taxonomy): Eukaryota > Metazoa > Chordata > Mammalia > Primates > Hominidae > Homo > Homo sapiens. The sequence goes on along the minus strand of NC_000006.12, from coordinate 16,464,087 downwards.
ACACCCCAGCTGCTGTTGGGAACTGGGTGATGACTGCTCTAGCTACTTCCTGCTGGATAGGGGTGAAGAAGGGGCCCTGCAGTTGTAGTGCCCTCCAGAGGGGAACACTCTAGGCCAAAGGGCTGGTGGGTCAGTCCAGGGGTCCTTGGTAGAAGTTGTGAGTTGAGCTCATTTGGGGTTCCATTTGTAAGACCATCTGTAGCTTGATGGTATCGATCCTGGAGGAAACAAATTTGACAAAGAGGTTAAAAACACAGGGCCCGAAGGTGAGTAATAGCAAGATGGCTGTCATGGGACGTAGAAAGGGGAGAAACCATGTTGCCCAACTCTAGAGGTTGGTATAAGAGTTTGAAAGGCATTGTCTGATTTCAGAAGCCTTTTCCTGTAACTGCTGGGCAGCATCTTGTACTATCCCTGAGTGGTTAGTGTAAAAACAACAGTCTTCTCCTAAGAAGGTGCAGAGTCTTCCTTTCTCAGCAGTGAGGAGGTCTAGGCCTTGGCGGTTTTGGATATTCACTACTGCCAAAGAGTCTATTTGGGATTGCAGAGTAAGGATAGATTTTGTTATTTCTTGCAAACTGTCTTGAGAAATCCTTTGAGAGTGTGTGGTAGTAGGATAATGAAGTAGATAAACTGGCTATTCTGGTTCCTGTAGCAGTGGCTATTCTTAACCGTATAAGTAGGGGTATTAGTTGTATGGCCCTGTACTGACGGACCTGAGCTTTGAGGGGCACTGATAGGGTCTGATTTCCTGCGGTAATGTTAATGTTGGGACTTAGGAAGACTAAGGTACAGGTGCCTGTCCAGTTAGTGGGGAGGCAGATGTAAGTTGAAGTTCCACATAAGAATATGCCTTGGCTGGGTAGACAGAACTGGTTGTGTATGTTAAAAAGGTGTGTGAGTTTGTTGTTTTCATTTTCCCATACTCCTAGAGTACTTGCCAAGGTAGTCTGGTGAGTGGCTGGAAAGGGGTGTTGGGAGCAAACTGAGTGACTCCCTGTGCTCTATTTTCCCATTGGAGAAAAAACTGTTTTGTATCTACTAGGAACCATTCAAGAGAGTGATTGAAAGAGAGGATGAGAAGGTATTCCTTAGTGGTGGGGGTGCTGCTGCAGGGGGTCCAGGGGTGAATAGTCATACAGGGAGTATGTTTGCCATTACAAAACCTGGACTGTTTGTTAAGCAGGGAGGAGGTGATGATTTTTGGGGGCCCTGAGAAGCGGACAAGCCATCTGAATAGAGCGGTTTGGGTGCCTTGGAAGTTACTATGATCATTTGGGGCTTGAAGTTGGAGAGTGTAATTACACTGATGGGATAGTAGGTGCCCCAGGGGCAGGCCTGATAACAGGTTGCGTTGGATGCATAACGGGGCTTGGAAAGTTAAGATGGTATTCACGGTTACAGGGCTTTTCATTGCTCATGTAATAGGTGAGGTTGGAAATGTAAGAGCGTAAAAGCTGGATTGCATGTAAAAAAGGTTGATGTGATTAGGATTTTTGTCCCGGCAGGAGCTACAGTATATAGTCCTGCTGCAAAGAGAATGGTTAGTATACTGCTTAATAATGTGATGAAACTGTAAAAGGATTCCATTAAAGGGGCAAGGAGTGGTGTTAAAGATTATGTAGGTTTTCACTTATCCTTTTTAAATAGGAAAGAGTTTTTCCTTAGGATCAGCTATAGGGGCCTTTTTAGTCTGGGATGTTTCCTTCTGAAATAGGAGACACAAATCTTCCAATGGTTCACAGGTTTATCGAGGCTGGTCTGGCTGATCTTGGGACTCCTGAGCTGATGGTCCTACAGGTTCTTCAGGGGGTGTCCAAAGTTTAACTCGCATGTAGTGAATCCAAGATTCCACTCCTGCCACCTTAACTGCAGTGGGGGTAGAGAGGATTACTGAGTATGGTCCTTCCCACAAGGAATCCATAGATGAGGAGGAAGAGGGGAGGGACTTGACCAACAGTAAATCTCCTGGTTGGAACAACTCTGTTCCCTTGTCTCTGTGACATCCTTTGGGTAGGTTTTTAACGTTTTGTTGGTATTTTGCCAAAGAAGTTATATCTTTGACCAACTTGGCCGTTTCCTGATCAAGTAGGAGGTCATTTGTGAGAAAAGGTCATCCATACAGCACTTCATATGGACTGAGCCCCATTTTGTGAGGAGAATTTTGGATTCTCAACAAGGCCATGGGCAAGAGAGTAGGCCATGGGAGATGAGTTTCTTGTGTTCGTTTCCTTAAGTGCCTCTTGAGTGTTTCGTTTGCCTTCTCAGCCTTCCCTGAGGATTGTGGCCTCCAGGCACAGTGAAAGTGATATTGTATCCCTAGTGCCCTGGAAATTCCCTGAGTTACCGTGGCTTTAAGAGCCGGACCATTGTCGTTTTGTAAGCTTTGGGGAAGCCCAAATCTGGGAATTATTTCATGAGTTAGTACTTTAACCACTTCCTGAGCCTTCTCCGTCTTGCAGGGGAAGGCTTCTATCCAATTTGGTTGGTCAACACAGACCAACAAGTATTGAAATCCCCTTGACTTAGGCATATGGGTGAAGTCTAACTGCCAGTCCTCTCCAGGATAGTGACCTATTCTTTGTTCCCCAAAAGGGGCCTTACGATGGACCAAGAGATTTTTCCTTTGGCACACCTCACAGGCTTTGACTACTTGTTGGATGGTCTGGAGGAGATATGGCCCCATAAATAGGGATTTGGCCATTTGATGAGTGTTCTCAAACCCATGTGAAAAGTTTGGCAGGGGGTCTTAAGTATTTTCCACTGGCTGGCTTCGGATATGAGTACCTTTCCCTCTTCTGCCGTTAACCACCCCAAGGGGAGAAAACTATGCCCCCGTGAAAGTCCCCATTCTGTTTCGATCAGGGAGTACTGGGGCTTAATCTCTTGGAGGGGGTTGTTCCATACCATGGGTCCTTCCATAGGTATTTCTAATGGGAGGTTCTGCCTGGCAGCAATTTTGGCCTCAGCATCTGCCCAGTGGTTTCCTTCTGCCTTTTCTCCTTCACCTTTTTGATGGCTTCAGCAGTGTAACACTGCCACCTCCTTGGGTTTTTGCACTGTGTGCAATAACTCCATAATTTCCTTGTGGTATTTAATGGGGGTTCCCCCAGAGGTTAGGAACTCCCTTTCTTTCCATATTGCAGCATGGGCATGTAGGATTAGATAAGCATACTTGCTATCTGTATACACATTTATTCTTTTTTCCTTTCCCGGTTCTAAGGCTTGGGTAAGTTCTGCTAACTAGGCGCTGGTCCGTGGGGGGAAGAGACTTACTTTCAAGTACTGTTACATCACTAACTATGGCATAACCTGCCCTTCATATCCCATTCTCCACAAATGAACTTCCATCGGTATATAGGTTAAGGTCAGGATTAGCTAAGGGTACTTCTAAGAGATCCTGTTGGGAAGCATAAGTCTGGGCTACAATTTGTTGGCAGTCATACTCGATTGGTTCTCCATCCTCTGGGAGAAAAGTAGCAGGGTTGAGGGCTGCACACGTGTGTATTTCAAGCACCAGTCCCTGAATGAGTAGCGCCTGGTACCTGAGTAGGTGGTTTTCTGATAGCCATAAATTTCCTTTGGCACCTGGTATGCCATTTACATCATGAGTAGTCTAGATGGTGAGATCCTTTCCTTGTATTATTTTGATAGCCTCTGACACTAAGATAGCCACTGCCACAACTACCCGTAAACAGTGAGGCCAGCCTTTTGCTACTACATCAATTTCCTTACTTAGGTTGTGGGGTTCCTTCCTTACTGGTTGTGGGGTTGTCCTACAAGTCTGAGTAAGGACTCCAAGAGCTATTCCCGCTCTCTCTGTGAGGTATAAAGAGAAGTTTTGTCCTGGGGAAGGCTTAAGTCTTGAGTTTGTACTAGGGCCTGCTTTAAGGTTTTGAAGGCTGTTTCTGCCTCTGGTTCCCATTCTACTAGATGAATATTTGCCCTCTCGGTCTCCTTGATTAGAGTATAGAGTGGCCTGGCCATCTCGCTGTATCCGGGGATCCATAGTCGGTAAAAGCCAGTGATCCCAAGGAACCCCCACAACTGTTTTAATGTGTTAGGGCAAGGACAAGCCAGTATAGGCTGTATTTGTTCTTTGCTGAGGGCCCTGGTTCCTCTGGCTAGGATTAGGCTTAGATATTTGACTTGTTGTAGGCAGAGCTGGGCCTTCGATTTAGATGCCTTGTACCCTTGATTAGCTAGAAAGTTCAAGAGATCTAGAGTAGCCTGCTGGCATGAAGCTTCCGAACTGGTAGCCAAAAGTAAATCATCCACATACTGAAGGACCAGCATGCCTGGACTTGAGAAGTGGCCTAGATCTTGGGACAGTGCCTGACCAAACAGATGAGGGCTATCCCTAAACCCTTGAGGCAAGACCGTCCATGTAAGTTGGGTTTTGTGGTCTGTGGGATCCTCAAAGGCAAAGAGAAACTGGGAGTCCAAGTGCAGAGGAACGCAGAAGGCAGCATCCTTGAGGTCCAGAACAGTGAAACCATTCTGCTTCCTTTGGTATTTGAGAGAGCAGGGTATAGGGGTTGGGTACAACCGGATATAGAGGAATTACTTCCTCACTGATGAGTCTAGGATCTTGCACTAGTCTCCACTGACGATTCAGTTTTTGTACTCCTAGAATTGGGGTGTTGCAGGGGCTACTGCATTTTCTTACTAAGCCTCGAACTTTTAAATGTATAACAATATCCTGTAATCCTTTATGAGCTTCAGGCCTTAAGAGATATTGCCTTTGATAAGGAAAAGTGGTGGGGTCTTATAGCCTGATTTGGACTGGGTGGGCATTTTTTGCCTTTCCGAATTGTCCTTCCAATGCCCAGACTTCAGGGTTGATTCCCTCCTCAAGTAGGGGACAACAAATGGGTAACTTGTTCCCCATATTCATATAGTTAATGGCTCCAGCTTTGGCTAATATGTCCCTCCCTAATAAGGGTGTGGGGCTTTCAGGCATAAGAAAAGCATGTGAAAAGAGCAAAGTCTCCCAATTACAACTGAGGAGGTGGGAGAAATACCTGGTTACAGGCTGTCCCAGGATTCCTTGGATGGTAATGGATCTTGAGGACAGCTGTCTGGGGCAGGAGATTAACACTGAGAAGGCCATGCCAGTGTCCAGGAGGAAGTCAATTTCCTGGCCCTCAATGGCTAAACTTGCCCAGGGCTCAGTGAGGGTGATGACATGAGCTGGTGCTTGCACCAGGCACCCTCAGTCCTGTTGTTGGATCATCTGGTTGGGGGCTTCTGGCCCGGAGAACCTTTGTCCTCTGGGGCAGTACCCCGTCTAGTGATTGCCTTGGCATAGTGGACATGGGTGAGGGAGTAGCTTGTTTCTTGTTGGACAGTCTTTTTTAAGGTGTCCTTGCAAACCACACTGATAACAAGCCCTACTGGGTGATTGGCCTGCTCCATTTTCTGTCCTCTCTGAACCACCAAGGTTTGTTTGTCTGAGGGCCATGACTGAGGCTGCGGCCTTTCTCTTATCTCGCTTTTCCTTTTCTGCCTGTTCCTCTTGGTTCCTATTAGAGAACACCGCGGTTGCCAGGTTTAATAATGCCTCCAGATTTTGTTCAGGGCCAAGGGCTCGCTTTTGGAGCTTTCTCCTGATATCTCAGCTGATTGGGTAATAAACATCTTTTAGGATCAATTGACCCTCGAGGGAGTTGGGTGACAGGGGAGTATATTTTCTTAAGGCCTCCCATAGCTGCTTGAGGAAGGCAGTAGGATTTTCTTCCTTTCCCTGAGTTATGGTGGACATCATTGAATAATTCATGGGCTTTTTCCTAATTCTCCTTAGTCCTTCTGGAATACAGGTCAACAGATGTTTGCGACTCCAGTTCCCATGATCTGAGTCTAGGTCCCAGTGGGGATCCATAATGGGGATGGCTTGCTGCCCATTAGGGAATTTGTCCCTTTCTTCGGCTGTCATTTTGTCATTTACTTGACTAAGATACCAGGTATCTCCAAATTCTCGGGCTGCAGCTAAAGCTGCATTCTTTTCATTAAAGGCCAGGGTTTGATCTAACAATAGCATGACATCTCTCCAAGTGAGGTCGAAGGTTTGCCCTGGACCCTGTAGGACATCTATATACCTACCAGGATCATCTGAAAACTTTCCCAGGTCTACCTTGATCTGCTTTAATTCAGAGAGAGAGAAGGTCCCATGTTGGGCCAAATTCCCCTCCCCCTACAGCTTAAAGGAGACATAACTGATAGCCTGAGGGGTTTGGTGGTCCTTTGGAAATTTCTTTGCTTGTTTCCTTCTGGATGGAGGAGATTAGAGGAGGCTCATCATTAATAGGAAGGGGAGCTGTAGGGAGGCTAGGATATGGAGGTAATCTGAGAGGTCCTCCTGTGGAATGTAAATCGCCAGCTTTGCATAGTTGTGGATTATCCTTCAGTAAAAAGAAAGCTTGGACATAAGGTATTTCACTCCATTTCCCTTCCCTCTTACAGAAAAGGTCAACCTGCAGAATAGTGTTGTAATTTATACTTCCCTCAGGTGACCATTTTTCCCTATTAGAGAGATAATATTAAGGCCAGACCGTAGTGCAGAAAAAATAAGCCGCTTCTTTTTCAGGGTTTGCGGGACAAATTGGTCCCAATGGCTTAGGATGCGTTTCAAGGGTGAGCTTGTTGATGCCTGGGTGTTTCCCATCTGAAAGAAAAAACCGCCTGCAGTTTTTTTTTTTTTTCTCTTCTCCCTGCCCAAGAACCCACAACAGTCCCTGGATCCTGCTGTTCGGAATAGCTGTGCTCACCAAAGCAGCAGCGGAAACACTAGTTTTCCTCCTAGACCACAAAAAGGACTGAGGAAGGTCAGATTTAGTGGCCCTTACCAATGGATTCTCAAAAACCTGCACCCTTGCCTTTCGTCTTTAGACCACAAAGAGGACTGAGAAAAGTCAGATTTAGTGGCCCTTACCAATGCATTCTTGAAAACCTGTTAGAGTCCTAAGTGTTTTCTCCTGTTGTTATTAGGACCTTACCCTTGTACTATAAAGATAATATGCCTCAAAATGGAGTGGAGGGCCATACCCTGAGGGAAGGAAGGGATCTCCAGGGTTGGAAGAGTGATGCGTTTTGTCCTCACTTATCATATGAATAGGAAGGATATAATTTCTGAGTCTCCTCCTATCCTAGCTTTGGGAATAGCCTTTGTTAGGTCTGCTAGTCTGAGGAGGGATCCTAAAATTCCAGATAGTCCCCCACAACAGGGCTTTGGACAAAAATTATGTCTTTCTGATTGGTGAGCCTGGGTGCCTAAAGAAGGGAGCAGAGTCCTGAAATTTATATTAGAAATCATCCTTATAGGAGAAACTGGAAGAGCACCAGGGACAGGGAGTGGTTTTTAGAAGCAAGACTAACCTTGGAGAAGAGAGGCGGGAGAAAGTTTGTCTGACAGGTGTTAGGACCCAGGAGGCAAGGGTCAGGATAGATAGGATAGATGGGTGAGTCTTGTTTGGGCTATGTAACTTTGAGAGTTCTGCTCATGGCTGCAGGGCCAACCAACTTTTTGTTGAGACCCCGGAGCTGAATGGCTTTCCTCTCTGTCGACCCTAGGCTTAGCCCGGAAGTGCAGGAAAAGCAGAAGCTGGTTCCAGGCAAACCAATGCTCCTGACTCCAAACAGTCGGGGGTTGTTAGTGAGCCCTTTCCCAGAGAGCCTGACATCCATGTCCTTAGTCCTGTGGCCATGCTAGTTGCTTTTAACTGGCTGACAGGTGCCTAGTTTTAGCCCCTGAATTCTAAGGAAAAATAGGACAGAATAGCAAGCAAAAGGGGTCTGATGGTACTCACCACGTTGCAATATCTGGGAGGATCCCCCAAGATGTGTCCAGAGTTGGTTCCAGCCGGTGGATTCATGGTCTCGCTGACTTCAAGAATGGAGGCACGGACCTTCACGGTGAGTGTTACAGCTCTTAAAGATGGCACAGACCCAAAGAGTGAGCAGTAGCAAGGTTAACTGTGAAGAGCGACAGGACAAAGCTTCCCCAGCGTGGAAGGGGACCCAAATGGGTTGCCACTGCTGGCTGGGGTGGCCCGCTTTTATTCCCTTATTTGTCCCCTCCCATATTCTGTTTCTGTCCTATCAGAGTGCCATTTTTTTCAATCCTCCCTGCGATTGGCTACTTTTATACTCCTGCTGATTGGTGCATTTTACAGAGCGTTGATTGGTGCATTTTACAGAGCGTTGATTGGTGCATTTTACCAAGTGCTGATTGGTGCGCTTTACAAACCTCTTATAAGACAGGAAAGTTCCTGATTGGTGTGTTTTACAATCCTTTTGTAGGACGGGAAATTTCCCCAAGTCCCCACTCAACCCAGGAAGTCCAGCTGGCTTCACCTCTCATTTTTATGGCCTGAAAGCTTATTTGTTTTTAGTGCTGAATAATATTCTATTGTATGGATGTACCACAGTTCATGTACCCATTCACGATTATGAATGAAGCTGCTATAAACATTTGAGTGCAGGTTTTTGTGTGGACTTAAGTTTTTAGTTTATTTGTGTAGATACCAAGGAGCATGCTTGCCACATTGCATGTTAAGAGTATGTTTAGCTTTGTAGGAAACTGCCAAACTGTTTTCCCAAGTAGCTTACTATTTGCATTCCCACCCGCAATGACTTGAGAGTTCCTATGGCTCTGCATCCTTGCCAGCATCTGCTGTTGGCAGTGTGTTGGATTTTGGCCATTTTCATAGGTGGTATCTTGTGTTTGTTTTAATTCACAGTTCCCTAGTGATTCATAATGTGGAGCATCTTTTTATGTGCTTACTTGCCATCTCTATGTCTAATTTGGTAAGGTGTCTGGTCAGGTCTTTTGTCCATTTTAAAAACTGGGTTGTTTGTTTTCTAATAGTGAAGTTTTCTACAGCTCTGTTGTGTGGTTACTTCTTTTTTACATCAAGATGAGTCTTACTACCTGGTTAGATTGGGTGTTACTTGTAGAGATGCTCTCCTTCCTTCCTTCTGTCTCCTAGAGCATTTGCCACACTTCAGATCCTCAGTAAATACAGTCTTCCCAACCCAATGCCTGCCACATGTTTCCTGACCTCAAGTTCATATATCCTCTCGCATTCCCTTTACTCCTTTCCATACATAACAGTGGTGGTCACTGCTGAGTCCCCCTGAAGGTGAGCTTATCTACCTCTTTTTATATCCAAGCTGCTTAATTGCTATAATATCCAAGCTCCCAGATCACAGCTTTTAGTTCTTTTTCTGAATCTGAACTGGTGATAAGATTAAGAAATCTCTTGGTTCTTTTGCATTAATTTCTTGGTTTTGCTGTCTACTATAATAATTTAATAGCATATTTTAAAAATGTTTCTGATGGCTGTTTAGTTTTGTCTGCTGACTACAAAGGTTGTTTTGACCTCATCTTGCTGACCTGCCAAAAGCACTAAGTCTATGGCAGTAAGAGAGTGGAAAGTCTGTTCCAGTCTCTGTATAATACAATTACATGTACTGTGTAGCAATAATAATTAACATGGGAGGAAATCAGTACAAATTAGGGATATTCCTGAATCATTGGCTACACTGTAGATAATGCAGCTTCTCAAGCCAGTTTGTTACAAATGGGCTACAGGTATATCCAAGTATGGATTGCCTCAGCCCTCAGGCAGCCTTGACCCCTGAGGCTACAGAGCCCCTAGCAGGGGGGGTTAACCATTTATGCAATTATGCTGCTGCCCAGATGTTATTTTCTATACAAGTAGTTCCTTTAGAGAGAGCAAGTGCAAGCCCCAAGCACTGGCACAATATGGAGTGGGGAAAACAATGATTTTGAATTCAGAAGAATTCAGTTCCTGGTCAGCTCTCTGATGGCAGGGATTTTGTCTGCTCAGCTCACTGCTCTATCCCTGTACCTAAATCAGTACTTGGCACACTGTAAGCACTCAGTAAATATTTATCGATCTAATTCTTCTGTTTTTTTTTTTTTTTTTTTTTTTTTTTTTGAGACAGAGTCTCGCTCTTATTGCCCAGGCTGGAGTCCAGCCATCTCAGCTCACTGCAACCTCCACTTCCTGGGTTCAAGCGATTGTCTGAGTAGCTGGAATTACAGGCACGTGCCACCATGCCTGGCTAACCTTTTTTGTAGTTTTAGTAGAGACGGGGTTTTGCCATGTTGGCCAGGCTGGTCTTGAACTCCTGACCTCAAGTGATCCGCCTGACTCAGCCTCCCAAAGTGCTGGGATTACAAGTGTGAGCCATCTCGCCCAGCTTCGATTTAATTATTGAAGCATACTTGAATTCAAGCATGTTACTTAATCCTCTCTGCACCTCATTTTCCAGAATTAGAAATATAGTTTATTCCTATACAGCAGATATAAATTTATGTGTAGACAGTTGGGCTGTTGTTGTAACCTAAAAGTGACATATGCACAACCTGTAGCACAATGCCAGGTACAGAGTAGGGGATCCAGTGGGTTCTTTCTTACCCTCTTTCATTTGAAGTTTTTAAAGTATCAGGTGAAGATGATGATGATGATGATAATGATAATGAAAGTGATATTTTTTGCATACATTTCAGTAAAGTTCATTACCTTACACTGATGTAATCCTCAGAGCAATTCTTAGACAATTATGGTTTTTTACCCCCTCTTTATTTTATTTTATTTTTGAGACGGAGTCTCACTCTGTCGCCCAGGCTGGAGTGCAGTGGCGCAATCTTGGCTCACTTCAACCTCTGCCTCCCGGGTTCAAGCGATTCTCCTGCCTCAGCCTCCTGAGTAGCTGGGACTACAGGCACCTGCCACTACGCCCAGCTAATTTTTTTGTATTTTTAGTAGAGACGGGGTTTCACCGTGTTAGCCAGGATGGTCTCGATCTCCTGACCTTGTGATCCACCCGCCTCGGCATCCCAAAGTGCTGAGAGTGTACCCCCTCTATCAATGATGAGACTGATGCTGAGAAAAGTAACATGATTATGTAAGATTACACAAGTGAAACACACCAAAAACAGACCTTGAACCCAGTTTTTTTATTTTCTCACGTCAACTTTTCCTCCACACCAAATCTAATAAAATTTTATAAAGAATTACTTTAAAGACTAAATCACTTTCGACTAGCATGTTGTCTGGATGCAAATGATGGTGATAAAGTAAGTTTAATAATGCTTAAAGGAGGTAAACAATTCCTAAACCTTTTAAAAAATCTAGTCAGCTAAAGTAGGTTTACGCTAAACTTTCATCAGAATCCTTAAATTCTAAATCTTGAACTTTTAAATCAGTAATAGAGTTTTAATGTGAATTAATTGTCTGTAACATTTTCAAAAGATAAAAGTGATAAATGCACAAACCTACCTGCTATTATAAAACTTGTTGTGGTGGAATGAGACAAGAATAGATGTACTATAAGAACAAGAGGGATATGAAGAGGCAGGTTTATGTCGATACTTAAAATACATTTGACGCCATCCTTTTGACAGGAAGGAATGTCTTTAAAATCTCACACCAGTGAGAGTGGGAAAAAAATCAGCCATATTTCTGCTTTTTTTACCCTTTCATTGGAATGCTCAGTCACTTGGTCTACTCTGGTTTTGATTCACAAATGAGTTTTCAGAAATGACTGTCCCACTGGCTTTTTAAAAGAAAAATTCAGTTTTTCCTCTGAAGACTGACACACAATCACTCAGAGATGGATAATCCTAAATGTTTTCCTTTTCCAGCTGAATTTAATCTTATGCTATCAACAAAATCTGGAAAGGTTTACTTTCTCATATCATTCATTACTAGTTATGAATTCTGAACCGTATTTGTAACCTGTTCATCACATATTCATCCCTGCATGTATTCATTCCCTAAATATTTATTGAATGCCAGCAATACACCCTGAACTCGGAGAAAACATAATCTTTACCCTCAAAAAGCTCACAGTCTGGTGCTCAGTTGACCAAACATCGTGTTTCTTTTCTACCGAGTTGCAGGTCTTCTCTCTGTGGATGTCATTGAATGTCGTTTGCAGAATTCTACTTGCTATAGTAGGCATCTGTCTTGTTCATGAGCCACATTACAACCTCGTGTGTTATAGGCAAAAAGGCAATCTAAGAACGGCCTGACATTCGGACGCCTAAGGGGACTTCCCTAGTGAGGGCACAAGACAGACAAATCCCAGAATATTTTCTATATGCAGAGGAAACTTCTCTGGCATCTTAGAAAGACAAAGACAGCAAGACTGAAGATAGAAACAGGAGGATAGCAACCTTTTAAACAACTTGTTTTTGTGAAATTTGTTTCTGTTTGCTTTGAGAATGGGGGAAAAGAGAACTCTAATTACAAACTCCACGTTTCTTTCAACTATACTATTTTCTTTCTTTTTTTTTTTTTGAGACGGAGTTTTGCTCTTGTTGCCCACGCTGGAGAGCAATGGCACGATCTTGGCTCACTGCAACCTCCGCCTCCTGGGTTCAAGTGGTTCTCCTGCCTCAGCCTTCTGAGTAGCTGGGATTACAGGCATGTGCCACCACGCCCGGCTAATTTTACATTTTTAGCAGAGATGAGGTTCCTCCATGTTGGTCGGGCTGGTCTCCAACTCCCGACCTCAGGTGATCTGCCGGCCTTGGCCTCCCAAAGTGCTGGGATTACAGGCATGAGGCACTGCACCTGGCCTTTTTTTTTGAGACGGAGTCTCGCTCTGTCGCCCAGGCTGGAGTGCAGTGGTGTGATCTTGGCTCACTGCAAACTCTGGCCCTCGGGTTCAAGTGATTCTTCTGCCTCAGCCTCCTGAGTAGCTAACTAATTTTTGTATTTTCAGTAGAGACTAATTTTTGTATTTTTAGTAGAGACAGTGTTTCACTGTGTTGGCCAGGCTTGTCTCGAATTCCTGACCTTTGGTGATCCACCCACCTGGGCATCCCAAAGTTCTGGGATTACAGGCGTGAGCAACTGTGCCCAACCAGTTATACTATTTTCAATCCTATATAATTTGTACAGCTGAAGTGGCAACTGCTTGCTTTTAAATGGGAAGAGAAGATGTCCCCATTTAATGCTTAGAAAAGATTGACTTCGGTTTAAGCCAAAGGAGCATCCTGGAGAACCGAATGATTCATGATTAGTAATTCTCAAGGAATGGCCATGTGGCTCTTCATAGCGTTGGCCCTTGGGGGGGTCTACTTTAATCTTTGTTCTAACCCCCGCCGCCCCTGTTGTCCTTTTAATCCTCATGGATCAGGTGCGTTCACAGATAACCACTAAAGTGAGGCTGAAAGAGGTTAGGATGGGGATGGACACCTGTATTTCTGAGAGGACCTCTCCATGATGTTTAGGAATGGGGTTGACATCCTTCACCTAGAAGGTCCTTTCCCAAGATTGGACATTGATTTTGGTCGCTGGAGCAGCCTCATCAGCATTTCTACAAGGTCCCCAGAAGGGAGGAAGCTATTCATTGAATACTTCATATGGAGGTGGTTTTATGTTATTTTTATGAGATATTAAGGAATCTTCAGAAACTCATAGCATCTCCATGTTGCAGATAAAAGAGGCTCGATGGAATGGGAGTGAGTCAGTTCAGAGTTACTCTGCTAATAATAAACGTGCTGGCTTTGAACCTACGTCTCTCTGAGTAATAAGCCCCTGCCCTCTCTTCCAAAGCACATTCCTTCCCTTGAATCAGAGAGCACTAGATGGGAAGGGTGATGGGAGCTACATTATCACTGGCAGATGGAACTATTCAGCTCCTGTCCTTCCATTCTCTAAGAACCATGCATGTGTGTAAACACATGTTGCATCAGTGATTGTTCCAGGCTTTGCCTACTTGCTCCCAAACATGTGAAAAAGAAGAGGAAGATTAAGTAAGTCATTCATATATTACTTATATCTGAGTGTTTGCAATCATATAGGGGAGCATAGTTCCCACAAGGACCGGTTTTTGTAAACTTTTGCTTCTCTTTCCTGTATTTAGGCATTATATAGCTATGGCAGTGATCACCCACAGGTACAAATTCTGTATCATTCATTGCCTTTACTTGGAGGTTTACAAATATTTTTAGTCTCTACTTCTTTTTCAAACACAATCTTGAAACCTCAACATATGAAACGAATAAAGGAAAATTTTGTTAGCATAATGTATGTTAGATTTCAGCGTGTAATGCTGACTTATAAAATCAAGAAGAAAGAACAATGAAGCTTTGTGATGAACACAGAAATTTGAAAGCAGTGTTAGAGATGACAGCTGCAATCTTCTTTAACTTCAGTTTCCAATTTATTGCCTTTTGTTGTTAGGTATATTTTTTATGTTGTTGTGCAGTATTGAGAAAACCCTGATTCCCTAAAATAAGGAGTTGCAAATAATAATGAGTTGTTTTATTTTTTTAAACAGTTACCTTGCAAGCTCAGGATATGTTTTCCTTTAAACTTATCCACTTAAAACGTGTTCACTTAAAACAAAAGGAAGAAAAGAAATGGCTTCTTTCAAAGCTGATATCGCTAACAATGTGAAACCATTTACATTTTTTAATTGGTAAGCCTGCGATTTGGAGGACCAATGATAGCTTCCTCTAGCCTAAATCTTCCATTAGAGGGAGAAAACACTTTTTAAATTATAACATTAATGAGATGCTCATTGATGTACTTAAAAAACAAGAAGAAGAAGAAACTCATAAGCCTGAGGGAGGGCTCATCTCTTTCAATTTTAGAAGGAAGAAATTGTCTTTGCTTTGCATGGTGGGTCCAATCTTGAACTTTAGATTTAATCTCTGACATTGGCTACCATAAGCATGGTATGTCTGACAGTTTAATGCCAATAATTTAATTTTATTACACCATTTTATACTACATGTTTATTTATTACATACCAAAATTCACTGAGGACAAGAACTCAGGGTGTTTTGTCTGGTCTTGGCCGTTAATTGTCCATGATACACTCATGCTGTACTAGGGTGCTCACTTGTGAAATTTCATGCAAGTGGACGTAGGGAGAACTTAAGTTTATATGTTTAAAAAAAGCAATGGTAGCGCTACAACCTTTCTACCTGAGAAACAGGATGTCACTGAGATGACGGGATACCTTTATTTTGAGATCTACACAAGCCTGGCAGTATGGTCTGGCCCATTAGTAGTTGTGGCAATGCCAGGATGGAAGTTACATTTGATTAACGGGGTAACTAAGAATCTAACTTCAGAAGAACTCTTGCTATCCCCTTTAACCCTCACAACAACAGCAACAAATAAATCAGTTGGCAAATCTTGAAGATGTAGAGCCTTACTAACAAAATGGAGTTAAGAAAACCCTTCATGCAAGCAAAAAAGCTTGATCTCTGCTAGGGACATCAAAGGTGCAGTGGTGTGGACGTCCAGACACAGATCTGATGTAGGCTTTCCTCTTGGGCCTTAGCCTAGCTCAGTGGTTTTCAAATTCCACTGTATGTGAGCATTGTTGCACAGGGTGGTATAAACAAAAACTGTATATAGTGTCCTTGTTGGGCAATGTAAGACACTTTTATTTATTGAGCCAATACTTACAGAGTGCCTTCTCTGTGCTAAGACTCATAGGTGCTGCAGTTTGAGCAAGGATGAAGAGAAGTCAGTTAATGGGTGATACAAAAATACAGTTAAATAGAAGGAGTAAGTTTTAGGATTCAATAGTACATATCACTTGTACCCCCAAAATATGTACACCTGTGATATATCAGTAATGAATAAATAAGGAGCATCATTCTAGCGCAGGAAACAAACCAACAAGGACTTTGTGGTGTAACATCAGCTGTGATGAATGAAGAGAAGAATCAGAGGGGCGAGGGAAGAGGGGGCCTGCTCTTTTAGACAAGGCGACCAGGGAGGGACACATCACAGCAGAGACCTGAATGAAGAGAACTCATTTGCCAGAGGAGCATTCTAGGTAGGACCAGGATTGTGCCTGGATGTGGAAGGGAGTGTGGAGGCCACTATGCTGGAGCAGAACATAGGGAGGAGATGGGCAGGAAAAAAGAGGAGGAGGGTTTCACATAGTTGGGGTCAGATCATGTAGGGCCTTCTAAGTCTTGACATGGACCAGGACTGTGGTTTTTACCATAAATGTAATAGGAAGCATTGAAAGGTTTGAGTGGAATGGTATTAGGATCTGATTTGCACCTTACAATTTCAAGGATACTTTTGAACCCACACACTCTGCATTGGGTGGGAACTTTAGACCCTAGCCCCTGAATTAAGTGTTATTCTACTATATGGCACATGGAGAGCTTTTCTGAAACTACAGTTACTTAATAATGAGAAATTCAATTTAAAAATAAAACGCAGATGCTCTGAAGCCCGTTGGTAGAATCTTTGGGGCTTTTAAATAAGTTTAAAAGCTACAAGCTTCAATAAAGATTAAATTAGAAATCCTATATAAAGCTTCTAAGAGTGTAACTAGCATTTTAGTAATGCTTACTAAGTGCTGGTTCTGTCCCTTTCTGCTCTCCTATTTTTTTTATCAGCGCCTTTGCTATTAGGCCAGGCGCAGTAGCTCACACCTGTAATCCCAGCACTTTGGGAGGCCGAGGTGGGAGGATCACTTGACGCCAGAAGTTCAAAACCAGCCTGGGCAACATAGTGCGATTCTGCCTTGATAAAAAATAAAAATAGGCAGGGTGTGGTGGCTAACACTTCTAATCCTAGCACTTTGGGAGGCTGAGGCAGGTGGATCACTTGAGGCCAGGAGTTTGAGACAAACCTGGCCAACATGGTGAAACCCCATCCCTACTAAAAATACAAAAATTAGCTGGGTGGGTGGTGGGCACCTGTAATACCAGCTACTCAGGAGGCTGAGGCAGGAGAATAGTTTGAACCCAAGAGGCCAAGGTTGCAGTATGCTGAGATCATGCCACTGCACTCTAACGTGGGTGACAGAACGAGACCCTGTCTCAAAAAAATTAATTAATTAAAAATTTTTAAAAAATACAATTAAAAAATACCTTTGCTATTGATGTCTGTTTCTGATTGTCTGTCATCCCGGTACACTATATTTACTTTCCAGGGAAACTGAGTCATTCAACAAGCCTCTGGCTTCTAGTGATAAGCACTATCATTAGAAAGAATTATGTTCTGTGTGTTAAGGATAAGGGACACATTCTTTTTGGAAAATAGTGCTTGTGAGTCTAGGAATAGTTGTATAATCTGGGAATATATGCTAATGCTATAGCTGAGTTCAAATCACTTTTTTAAAAATGCAAACTTATCTTCTCTGTCACCAAGCATGTCTTCCATACAAAAGGCACATTTCTGTAGCTTCATCCATGTTACTCTAGGCTATTTCCTCTAGTTTATTAACCACACGCTCAGCAAACTGTAGAGAGTATGGTCTGATCCCTTTCTCCCATAATAAAAATTTTAAGACTATGTACTTGTTGATAGATGACACCAACAGGATATATTTTACAGAAATGAAACAACAACATGTGAAGAATATTTTAGGTCACTGTAAAGTTCCTTTAATAGAAAAAAAACTTTAGATTTAACTGTTAAACCCTTTGAAAAAGAAATAATTTATTTCATGCAAATGACTAAAGCAAAATGGAGTGTGCAGAAGACCTACCTGCATACTGTATGTAAAATACAGTTTTCTGGGCTTCACTCCCAGGAATTCTGATTCACAAATCTGGGGTTGGGCAGCTTTCAATTTTGAGAAGTGCCCCGAGTAAGCTGATGTCAGGAATGTGAATTTTAACAGGCACCCCAAAGGAAGGCTGTGGGAAACCACATTTGAGAAACACTGCCAAATTACCAAAGGAACTTTAACTTTGTGTTATAGAAATATCAAACACATTTAACAGACACTTCTCAAAAGAAGACATTTATGCAGCCAAAAGACACGTGAAAAAATGCTCATCATCACTGGCCATCAGAGAAATGCAAATCAAAACCACAATGAGATACCATCTCACACCAGTTAGAATGGCAATCATTAAAAAGTCAGGAAACAACAGGTGCTGGAGAGGATGTGGAGAAATAGGAACACTTTTACACTGTTGGTGGGACTGTAAACTAGTTCAACCATTGTGGAAGTCAGTGTGGCGATTCCTCAGGGATCTAGAACTAGAAATACCATTTGACCCAGCCATCCCATTACTGGGTATATACCCAAAGGACTATAAATCATGCTGCAATAAAGACACATGCACATGTATGTTTATGGCGGCACTATTCACAATAGCAAAGACTTGGAACCAACCCAAATGTCCAACAATGATAGACTGGATTAAGAAAATGTGGCACATATACACCATGGAATACTATGCAGCCATAAAAAATGATGAGTTCACGTCCTTTGTAGGGACATGGATGAAATTGGAAATCATCATTCTCAGTAAACTATCACAAGGACAAAAAACCAAACACCGCATGTTCTCACTCATAGATGGGAATTGAACAATGAGAACACATGGACACAGGAAGGGGAACATCACACTCTGGGGACTGTTGTGGGGTGGGGGGAGGGGGGAGGGATAGCATTAGGAGATACACCTAATGCTAGATGACGAGGTAATGGGTGCAGCACACCAGCATGGCACATGTATACATATGTAACTAACCTGCACATTGTGCACATGTACCCTAAAACTTAAAGTATAATAATAATATAAAAACTTAAAAAAAAAAGAAATATCAAACACATTTGAAAGCAGAGAGGTGGTAAATGAACGCTTTTGCCCCACCACCCCATTCAGCAGCAGAGCCAACATCGTTTTCTCTACTCCACCTCTGCACCTGGATTATTTTGAAGCAAATTCCAAATAACAGTATTCCCTGGACCTTGCATCTTCATAACAGATTGCTGTTGACTCAAAATATCTATAAAATATTTTACTATTTCTATAAATGATTAGGATTCTTCTTCTCATACACAACTACAACATCATCATCACACCAAAAAATGCATTAACAGTCATTTCTCAATATCATCAAATATCCCGTCAGTATTCATATTTTCCTAATTGACTTATTAATAAGTTTTATTTTATGTTGTAGGATTTTTTAATAGTTTATTTGAACCAAGATCCAAATAAAGGTCATTTCGGTCTCCTAAACCTCTTTTACACTACTCGGTATCACCTATGTCTTTTTTTTATTTTGCAGTTTTTTCTGTTGAGAAACCAGACCATTTGTCTGGTAGAATTTCCCACCCGTCTGGGTTTGGATGATTGCCTCCATGTGGTGTTGCTAAGCATGTCCCTCTGTCTCCTGAATTTCTTGGGAATTGCTAGGAAGTTCTAGAGGCATTGTTTTGTTTGCTTTGCTTTGCCTGACTGCTTCATAGTTGGTGTTGTGTTGTGTATTTCCTTCAGGAGGTAATGGTTGGTGGCATCTCTTTTTGCAGTGAGACTGTCATCTGAATTCATAAATTTATCAGGGATTGCAAATAGTGGTAGTCTAATTCTATTATTATTTGTTCATTTGTTAGCAGGAATTATTGTTCATGAAGAGAAACTCCTTGCATCTGTAATTTATCTACCCGGTGCTTCAGGTTTTGTAGGAAAAGCAGGATAATATACTAGATTCTGTCTATTTACCAATTTGCACGATACAGCTAGTTCACAGTGTCAAACCAAGTCACTGTGTTTTGAAAGCATGACTGTAAATTCATAGATTGCAGCATATCTGTTGTGTTTCAGTCCATGACAGTGATTACCCTTTTTCATGTTCAGATGGTCCCCTGTCTGAGCATTGGGATCCTATTCAGTTTGGCTACTGAGTCCTTTTAATCCAATACTGGCTGTCTTTGATAGTTTTCTTGCTTTCTAGTATAACACTATGTTCCAGGCTCATCTTGTACATTTCTTGCCTTAGCTCTGGGATCAGCTTTTTTCCAAGGAGACCTGGTTTCTTTCAGTGAGAAATGATATTTGGAGACCAAAGACTGGGCCCCAGGGGAACTGTTCTCACTGGGTTGAATATTGTTTTTCCTTTCCAGTGGACACAGCCAGTGATAGGAAATCTGTGTCTCTCTAGATATAGATATAGATCGATTGTGTGTACTTTTTTTTTTTTTTTTTGAGACGGAGCCTCGCTCTGTCGCCCAGGCTGGAATGCAGTGGCGCAATCTCGGCTCACTGCAAGCTCCACCTCCCAGGTTCACGCCATTCTCCTGCCTCAGCCTCCCGAGTAGCTGGGACTACAGGCGCCCGCCACCACGCCTGGCTAATCTTTTCTGTTTTTAGTAGAGACGGGGTTTCACTGTGTTAGCCAGGATGGTCTCGATCTCCTGACCTTGTGATCGGCCCTCCTTGGCCTCCCAAAGTGCTGGGATTACAGGCATGAGCCATCGTGCCTGGCCGTGTGTACGTATTTTTTAAGGTAAAATACCTCATGAGTTTATACTGATGTGCCACAAGGCTTTTACTTAACTTCATTCATTTTACATCAGTATTTTCTTTCTCTCAAACTGAAAATAGCAGTTCTCACTCACACCAACACAATTTACTCATTTACTTTCTCCCACACTACACTTGCAATAATTTCCGAACAAAAATGCCAGTGACATTGCAACAATATGCTTACTGAAAATGTTTAAGGTTTTTTTTATTTTGATTGTTTAGTTTTGTATTGGTTTTTAGTCCACTGGGCTAGAGATGGACAATTACATTACAATATGTTAGGGTCATTTGGAATAGTTACAGTCTGTGTGTTTATGCCAATAACTGGATATACATTTGAGTTCACTTACTTTAATTTGAGACTTCCTAAGAGGCTTTTGAAAAGTGATTCTTGTTCAATAATTATATAAAAATATTTAAATTTTCCTGAAACAAAACCCACAAAACAAGGTGAAGTCGTTGAAGTCTGTCTTTCATGCCTGTCTGCTTTATTTTCTCCTTTTTACCATTTTTAGGCATATCTTTCATTTTTATTATAAGCAATCATACTATTTAGGTAGGTTTTTTTTTTTTTTTTTTTTTTTTTGCTCCAATAGATTTATTTATTTATTTAGAGACAGGGTCTCACTTTGTCACCCAGGCTGGAGTACAGTGGTACAGTCTTGGCTCACTGCAGCCTTGAACTCTTAGGCTTAAGCAATCCTTCTGCCTCAGCCCCCCAAGTAGCTGGGACTACAGGTGTGCCCCACCATGCCCGCTATTTTTTTTGTTTGTTTGTTTTTCCAGACCAAGCCTTGCTCTGTCACCCGGGCTGGAGAGCAGTGGCACCATCTTGGCTCACTGCAGCCTCACCCTCCTGGGTTTAAGCAATTCTCGTGCCTCAGCCTCCTGAGTAGATGGGATTACAGGTGTGCGCCACCACGACCAGGTAATTTTTGGATTTTTGGTAGAGACGGGGTTTTGCCATGTTGGCCAGGCTAGTCTCAAGTTCCTGGCCTCAAGTGATCCACCCGCCTTGGCCTCCCAAAGTGTTGGGATTACAGGTGTGAGCCACCATGCCCAGCCTTCCAGTAAAAATGTTTAGAATAATTCCTTAATATGGTACCCTTCTTATCCCCCAAACTTTTCTTAGCTGTTGTTTATTGGTTTCCAACTCTGAGTGATTTTGAAATTCTTAGTACCCTTTCTTTCTTATTTTCTTCTCTGGCTATAATTTGATTTAAGGTAATATCCTTTTACTCCCACTTAACATCTATGTTAGTGAGATTATTTTCGTTCCTTTCATATTCTTCCCGCGTGTTTTTTTTTAATCATTATACTATCTATATTGTCAGGGCACATAGTCATTATATCGTTCTGGCTATATGTAATATTGTTTCCTTGTAATCATCTTTCAGTAACAGACCTACAGCTGATTATGTGTTAAATGCTCACCCAGTCTTTGTATCAGTGCCTTTCCAGCCAGACTGGTTGCCTGACTCTTCTCCCTTGCAGATTACTAAGGGTTTCTGCGAACAATATTCCTTGGGTCCTTGCATATTCATAACAGATTGTTGTTGGCTGGAAGATCATTTTGGCTGGGTATAAGATCCTTGGCTTAGTTGTCTTTCCTGAGTGTCACGCTACTGACTTTTAGCATGAAGCCTGGCTCTTGAAAAATCGGGTGACACTCTAATTTTCTGTCCCTTATAGGTAACTCAGTCATTTTACCTGAGTGTCCAAAGAATTTTTTTTTGTTTTCTTTCCTAGGTCAGTTTTTCCAGGTGCATGGAGTATTCTGTCAATATATAGTTTCAAATCTTTTTCTACTTCTAGAATTTGTGCTTCAGTCACGATTTTAAGCATTTGCTGTTTTTATTGCTTTTCTTCTTCAAAGGCTCTTATTACAGTGTTATGTTGGGTTTTCTTTGCTCATGTTCCTTTTCTGAGTCTTTCTCTTGAATTCTATTTCTTTCCTCATTTCTTTTTGATGTTTAACACTTTCTCCTTTCTATTTTTTAGCACTCCTCAAAGATTATCTGTTGTATGTATTCCCTCTTGTGTTCCTTCTTATTTGGTCTTCATCTAGAAAATGGATTTTCTTTTTTCGTTTTCTTCAAATTCTTTCCCACGTTCTTTTGCCTCT
This sequence comes from Homo sapiens, assembly GCF_000001405.40. NCBI lineage: Eukaryota > Metazoa > Chordata > Mammalia > Primates > Hominidae > Homo > Homo sapiens. The sequence goes on along the minus strand of NC_000006.12, from coordinate 16,441,669 downwards.
CTCTATCCAACTATTTCTTTTCTCCAATCACTTCATTTCTGAATGTTTTTATTGGGATTAGTGTTCCTTTATCTCTTCTTACTGCCTCATTTTCTTTTAGCTCTTTTGAAATATTAAAGTTTTCATCTGTTTTGGGGGCATGTCTCTGTGGTAAGAATGCTACTCTGATTTTTCTTCTTATAATAACTGTGCACTGTATTTGACCACAATCCTATTTTGTTACTCATTTTTAAGTGGAATGAGTTTTCTTGTATTTTTAGGGATAAGGGATGGGCCAGAAAATATTTTCTAGTGTCTAGGCCATAGAACTCCGTCTTCTGTTGTTTCCATGGAATAAAATAAGGCCTATATTTTCTTAGCTTCGTCTTCTCTGCCTCCCTTCACTTGGATCTGCCCCCTCCCTTCACTTTGGCTAAATTATTACTGCCATGTTCGATTTAGATTCTGCTCTCAAAAGTTTCTTCTCAAGGTGATTTGGTCGTGGAAGGAAGCTTAGATTTGTTGGTCTCAAGAGTGCCCTGGCTCCGTAACACCTAAGCACCTCAGACCTTCCCAGGGTTCCTTGCCCTCACCCCATGAATTGGATTCTGCAGGACCCCTTGCCAATGATGCTGCTGTGCTCAAAATAGCTCACCACCCTGCTGACCGTGCCGTAAGGACCTTTGGAAGCTTGGGAGCCCGTTGTGCCAAAACCTTCAGATGCCCACTGCCTCTCCTCCAACTTTCTCTTGCACAGATATTGCTTCTGCCTGGCTCTGTCACTATAAATGGTTCGGCCACACCCATTCCTGTCTTCAGGTTTATGGACTACACAGTAACCTCATTTTGTCTTGATGTGGTCCATGGGTTTTTGGCTGTGTAATTCCAATTTCTCTGTTTTTGTTGTTATCATTGCTATTGTTACTGGCAGGGAGGAGGAGGGCAGGGATTCTGAAAAATTTTTTTAAACTGTGCTACCTTTGACACTGGTGCCATCATCTTCCCTGAATTCCCGCTTTAATTTTTTCTTTTCTTTTCTTTTTTTTTTTTAAGACAGGGTCTCACTCTGTTTCCCAGGTTGGAGTGCAGTGGTGCTATTTTGGCTCACTGCAACCTCTGGCTCCTGGGTTCAAGCAATCATCCCACCTTAGCCTCCCAAGTAGCTGGGACTAAAGGTGTATGTATGTATTCCCTCTTGTGTTCCTTCTTATTTGGTCTTCATCTAGAAAATGGTTTTTTTTTTTTCTTTTACTTCAAATTCTTTCCCACGTTCTTTTGCCTCTCTCTATCCAACTATTTGTTTTCTCCAATCACTTCATTTCTGAATGTTTTTATTGGGATTAGTGTTCCTTTATCTCTTCTTACTTCCTCATTTTCTTTTAGCTCTTTTGAAATATCAAAGTTTTCATCTGTTTTGGGGGCATGTCTCTGTGGTAAGAATGTGCCACCACGCCTGGCTAATTTTTTGTATTTTTGGTAGAGATGGGGTTTTGCCATGTTGCCCAGGCTGGAGACTCCTGGGTTCAAGCGATCCACCCATTTAGACCTCCCAAAGTGCTGGGATTACAGGCATGAGCCACCGCACCTGGCCCCACTTCAATTTTTTTTTTTTTTTGAGACGAAGTCTTGCTCTTGTCCCCCAGGCTGGAGTGCAATGGCACCGTCTCAGCTCACTGCAACCTCCGCCTCCCGGGTTCAAGTGATTCTCCTGCCTCAGCCTCCCGAGTAGCTGGGATTACAGGTGCCTACCATCACACCCACCTAATTTTTGTATTTTTGGTAAAGATGGGGTTTCACCATGTTGCCCAGGCTGGTCTCGAACTTCCGACCTCAGATGATCTGCCCACTTCAGCCTCCCAAAAGTGCTGGGATTACAGGCGTGAGCCACTGTGCCTGGCCCCACTTTAATTTTTTAATAGTGCTTGAGAAGATGTTTCTGCTAAATACTATGCCTCTGGATTAAACCTCAAATACTTCAAAATGAAAAGTTTGATTTCGGTCACAGATTTTTAGTAAATACTTTTTAGGGACAAGAAAACTACAAAGTGCTTTGAAAAACAAAACAAGCTCAATTTTTTATTTGTTTAACATATGTAGAAAATAAAATTAATACACGTATCTTTTCCAAATTAACACAGTATGAAACCAACCACTACTAATTCATCAAAAGACACAATTTAGATCAAGTTTAGGCTTGGTTAGGACGCTGGACGCTGAGTAAATGGTAGCTCTGAGGCTGAAAAAAAACCCCTGAGTCACTCTGGTACACATTCTGATGTCAGCATCCCCACCCCACCCCAACCCTTATTCCCGCCCCGCCCCCGGCCCCGCCCCCCCCCCCCCCCCCCCCCCGCGAAAAGAAGTCTCTAGCTCTGAAAATTGGCTTGTTATAACTTTACAAATGTAGTTGCCAAATTGCCATTGACATCACATTTTTCTTTTTGGCTTTTAGTAGCTAGATAGTAATACTATAAAGGAACTCTCTGCTTTTTCTATTTTGTCCTTTTTAAATTCTTGGAGGCCCTTCATAACATGGAACACAGGATGGGCAAACGTGCTTCTTATAGTGTAGGTTAGATTTAGCACCTTTTGACAAAGGGCCTTGTTTCCTGTGCAGTTTAAATTTAGATCCACTGAGAATCTGAGAAATTCAGTAATGAAAGGGTAACTTTGGAGTTTCCTCTTTTGGAAGCTTTCCTTATTAAATTCTATTAATGACTCTGTTAGACTTGATTCCCATCTTACACAAGAGATTCCAGAATAGCAACTTGAATTGCTTCTTAGTCCCTCTTACGAAGTCACTCCTTCATTTGGCATTGATCGAGTACCTCCCGTGTACTGGCTGACGGGGCTTATATACAGAGCCACTACCTTATTTTTCATTCTGTTATTTTAAGAGTTTCTTGATAGTCCATCTACTTAAGAAGTGTTGCTATTAAATTTCAGTCTATCTCATAAATATTATTCTGAGATCCTCCTGGCTGGATTTATAGGTATAAATCATTCTTGGATAAAATATACAATATAAACAGTAAGTGGACCAGTTATCTGATTATACGTGCTCTGAGTCTACAGAAAGACAATATCTTGGTATGTTTCAGGAGACTTGTAGAGATGAGGTGTAGGACTTCTCATTTCTAATTAAAACTAATTAAAATTTACTGTCTACAAGGGAGATGGATTGAACATCACCTTTACCTTTCTCTTGACAGCAATGAAACCTGACTCAAAGCTGGCACTAAATGTATTATTTCAGTATCTGTGTCCTATTATGTGTTGTAATATTTTGGATTAAAAAATGGAGAAAAAATAAACAAGAAATTTTTATTTCTGCTAAAAAGTCAACAGAGTCCATTGTTATCTTTCTTTGCTTTTCAGATGGCAGAAATTGGGTGTCAGGTCCTATAACACAGGGGTTCCCAACCCCTGGGCCATGGACCATTATGGGTCTGTGGCCTGTTAGGAACTGGGTGGCACACCAGTAGGTGAGAGGCAGGCGAGCCGGCATTAGCCAGCTCAGCCAGCCTAAGCTCCACCTCCTGTCAGATCAGTGGCAGCATTAGATTCTTTCTCATAGGAAAGTGAACCGTACTGTGAACTGCACATGTGAGGGATCTAGGTTGTACCTTCCTTATGAGAATCTAATGCCTGATCCCCCTACCCCTAGCCTCATGGACCAGTGCCAAAAAGTTTGGGGACCACTGCCATAAGAAGTCCCGACCAGAAGTGTCACATCTTTCTATTGCATGATGCTGCTTCTTGAACACCCATAGTAGCCAAGGCCAGAATTAGTGTGGCACCCTCTTCCCCAGACAAGGTCCATGGACAGTGCATTTCAAAATACAGGAAGCTCTCCTTACACTCTCTGCTACCTAGCTTCCATGGTTATCAAGTAATTATACTTTATGCTGAGCCAACTTATGCATTTAGGAAGAGATGAAGAGAAATTATATCCTCAAATGGGCTGGAACAAAAGGGAATACCAATAATTTGTAAGTTAATCAAATTATAATTAAAGCAGGAAGAGACACAAGGAGCTTGGATTATCTATGTTTTCTGTTAGAAAATAATACAACAAAAGTATCCAGGGAGTCTTATCAGTTCTGTAGGAATTTGGCAGAACAGTAAGGTTATAAGTTGTCCTTTTAATTCCCAGCCACCTCTGGCCTCTGCTTACCATGGCCCTGCCTTCTGACTTGCTGTTTGCTCAGCTCCTTAGTGCATGGGAAGAGCAGAAACATCAGGGGAAGAGCGCTGAGATCTGCTGTGCACCTGTGCCGCACAGCCCTTCCCATGTAGACATGTGTAGCTTTTGGGTTTGCCAGTGGATGGAACTTATCCGCATCAAGTAGCCTTCCACGGGGGTGGTGCTGATACGCACTCCCACCCACAGCCGATACAGCCTAATCACAAGTGGAACAATCAGAGTGGAAAGTAGCGGAAAGTAGCAGCCTCTGGTTTCCAAATGTGAGAGAGCCTCAGGGCTCAGTCCTCAAACCTGGTCTGTTTTTTGTTGATGCCTTCAAACCATCTCAAAACTGACACCTTCTCCAGCCTGGGCCTTTTCTTTGAACCTCAGGCTTGCATATCCCACTGTCTCTTAACTGCCTTCAGTGGGATGAACTCTTGATATTCTACCCCAACCTGCTTCTCCCACTGCCTTCCCATCTCCTTCCAGTTACTCAGGCCACAGTTGTTGACGTTGTCCTTGATGCCTCTTTTTCTCCTACACAATTCTGCTGGTCCACGGTGCCACCATCTCTTGGCTGGAGTTCATCAGTAACCTCCTGAGTAGTCTCTCTGCTTCTTCTCAGAATATCTCCTCCATGCAACAGCCAGCATGAACTGGTGAAAATGTAGTCCAGACCCTGTACCTCCTCTGATCAAAACCCTCCAGTGCCTCTCAGCTCACTCAGAGTAAGGACCTCAGACTTTATTGTGGCTCAAAGAACTTGTCACCCCCACCCTCTGACTTCATTTCCTGCTCCCCACCCCCTTTACTCAGTGCCAGGAACACCACCTCGATGGTGTTCCTCCAACACACCACACAGGAGCCCACCCCAGGACCTTGGTACCTTCTGTTCTTTCTGTCAGGAAGGCTCTTCCCCCAGTCACCACATTGCTTTCTATTTCCCTTTCTTCAGGCTTTTCCCCAAAAGTTACTGTCTCTGTGAGGTCTTTTTTGACTGACAAGCTTGAAAAAATGGTCACCAGACCACCACCCTAGCCCCCTTTTCTGCTTAACTTTTTAGCATCTATCACCATTTAATGGAAAATACTTCATTATAAATCTTTTATTTCCATGAGGATAGGTAATTATTTGTTGTTGGGGGTGTCTTTGTCAGCATCTAGTACAGTGCCTGGCAGATGGATGCTCAATAAATATTGATTTAATGGGTTATGAGGGTGTTAATATAAAATTAGCATTTATTCAGCAACTACTATGAGTCAGCCACTGGGCTAAGTGGCTTACATGTTAAGAACCTCACAGAAGGCCAGGTGTGGTGGCTCACGCCTGTAATCCCAGCACTTTGGGAGGCTGAAGCAGGCAGATCACCTGAGGTCAGGAGTTTGAGTCCAGGCTGGCCAACGTGGTGAAACCCCATCTCTACTAAAAATACAAAAATTAGCCAGTTGTGGTGGCAGGCGCCTGTAGTCCCAGCCACTCAGGAGGCTAAGGCAGGAGAATAGCTGGAACCCGGGAGGTGGAGATTGCAGTGAGCCAAGATTGCACCACTGCACTCCAGCCTGGGTGACAGAGTGAGACTCTGTCTCCAAAAAAAAAAGAAAAAGAAAAAGAACCTCACAGCAACCTAGTAGGTGAGCACTGTTACTCTTGTTTTACAGGTGAGAAAATTGAGCCCTAGAGAAATAAAGTAACTTGCTTCAGGTCTCATGGTTAAGGGGAACCTGGGCCCTAACAGTCCACTTCCTGTACCTTCAACCACGGCTCTACCGCCTCCGCTAGGAGATGGCCCGAGGACATTCCTTAGCTGGCTTCAGCTTGCTCTTTTTCCCCTGCGGTCCACCCCTGTCTCCTGCTTGGTCATCAGTGATTTCCATGCCATCCCATGTCATTGGACCAGTTGTGTGTTTTTAATAGGAGTTCTCATCTCACTTTCTCCACAGCTTTGCCAATTCTGCTCTCCCCCTCCTGTCTAAATACCTTCCTCCCTTGGCTTCCTGAACACCACTGTCTTCGGGTGCCATCATCCCTTTCTGGCCCCTCCTTCCTAAGTCTTCAGGTGTTCCCTTTCTACCTGCTTTCTACGCCTCTAAGTGTTGGAGTTCCTCATGGCTTAGTCTCTAGACCACTTTGCTTCTCCACTTAAGTGTTCTGCTAGATGATCTCATCCAAACTCACAGTGCCTTGATGGATCCATGACTCCTGCATCCATGTTTCTAGGCCAGACCTCTCATCATCTTCGGGCCTGTGTCTCCAGCTACCTACTCTGCACCTCCTTTGGGGTATCACAATGTCACCTGAACTCAGCACGTTCAAAGTCAAAGTTATAACAATCACCATCCCACCAAACCTCATCTACCCAAGAATTCCCCATCTCAGCCATTGGCATCATCTAGTTACCCAAGACAGATGCCTAAAAGTCCTCCTTGAAGCATTTCTGTCCCTCTTCCTCTGCATCTAATGTGTCACCAAGTCCTACTGATGCAATCTCCTCAGTGTCTTTCGAATGCACTCTCTCTCTTCCGGCCCACTATCACCATTCTAGTCCTAAAACCTACCTTCTTTCTAGGAGCCACAGCTTCTCTGGAGTTTTTACACCTCTTCCAACTGTTCCCATCACCCCGTTCTTTTCTTTGACAACATTTTTTACATATAAAAATAGGTATTTATGTGATTATATCATGAATGTCTTTTCTCCCCAACTAAGAAGCACTATGAGAGCAGGGAGCTTCCTGTTTCTCCCCGTTCAATCCTCAGCTCCTAGCAGCACAGTGCCTGGTGTATAGCAGATTCTCCATCAGTATTTGATTTGTTGAGTGAAAAACTTAGATGTATTAAATGACAAACTGAGATCAAGGGAGAATGAAGAATCAATCAGAAGCAGATAGAAAATTATGCTGTGTGGTATGGCAACATCATGAATGGACTGTTACCGATAATACACACTGAGTCATCAAAGAAACATTAACATGTATTCTCTATTTTAAAAGGGAGGTACATAAATATAGAACCAAATAAACAGATCTCAGGAACATTTCCATTCAGTAAGCAAAGTTTTAGAAGGGAAAGAGAAATTAAGTTCACATCATTTCCCAATAACACAGATGAATGTTTTCCATCCAATTCTGAGGACAAAGATAGCACCTCCTCGCCCATCCATGCCAACGGAGGCTGAGGTAGCACAGATAATTGAAATTACAGTGAAGAAGGAAAGGGGTTGATTGATTTGCATGCCATCTCTTTTCTTTAATAGTGGAGGAATTGCCAAAAAAGGCTAAAAATGGGCAACAGGAAAAGGGAGAAACAGTAAGAATCTTGGATAATCTTCCACTAGATAATTAAGACTTAACTGGGTCTGTTTTGATGTGTGCACATGTTTCTGTACATGGAGAAGGATGAACCCACAAATATTATAAATGCCAATTTCCGAAGGCTTTTGGAAAATGTAACCCATAGCATATGGTGTCAAATTAATTTGGGGTTTTACTTGTTTCAGTCTGATTTGGGCACATTGAATTATGAGATAATAGTTTGGCATCCATGTTTGCTGAGTGCTTGTTGTAAGTTTCTCAATTTCACAAAAATTCTCTGAGGTTAGAGGACGCGTCGTGACCCTCGTTTGGCAGGTGAGGAGGTAGCGGCACAGAGCCGATCCGTGGCTCGCCTGAGCTCCGGCAGGAACTCCTGGGCGGAGCTGCTGAGACCCAGGTCTGCAGACTGTCACTCTGGCTTCACTATTTCTGGCCTTCCTTTGAGCACTTTTCTTACTTTTGTTCTGTTTCATGCACTTAATGCACCTGTTTCATCATGCTGCCTGTCACAGTTAAAGGAATTTAAAACAGAATGGATCGTATTTGACAGTAAGGAGCTGTACAGCTGAATTCCATCAAGACAATGTGCTTGTAGCCCCAACGGCATTAAAACTTTCAAATGATGCTTTATCACAACTTCCTCTGGGCTGCACGTGACAAAGGGGTGCTTAACCAGGAGGGACATCTCTCTTTGCTTGTAGGGGCAGGTTGCTGTTTTTTGCCCACCTCTAAAATCTCCTTGGAGCACTCAGTTCTTCTTATCCTCCTTAAAGCCAACAACTATAAAATTTAATTTAATGTTGAACAGCTGTTTCTGTTGCGGTCCAGGTGAAATTTGAGGTATCAGCTAATTGTGCTAAAGTTCCCAAAAAGAAGTATTCAGAAGGTGTGGATCACCAATTACCTCTTGGCAGAGCTGTGAACTAATAACTAGTAGCAGTAGATAATGTACTCAGATGCCACATGAAATGCAAAAGATTCTATGCTTTATTCCATAAAGCATGGCTATAGGACATTGTCTACTATGTAACTAATATTTAAATATTTATAGATTTTTAAAAGATTTCTTCAACCTTCTTTTCTCACCCTGTTTCTAGATCTGATGCACAAAGGAAAATAATAATACAAAACCCATAACCTATTCATTGTATTGTTGCGGTAGATCGAGCTACATGCTGCACAGCAAAAGACCTTCTTTGCACTTCTTTCAAGCAGAATTATTGCTGTATATTCACTCTGAACTGAGAGGTGAGGATTGAACTGTGTAGTGCCTCAGAAAATATCAAGAGTTTTAAAACATTAGTTTTGAGAGATTGAAATACATAGAAACTTGGAATGTTTGAATGTCAGCCCAGACATTGGCAGGCTTCCATGCAGATTTCATTGTGAGTAAAATGTGTACTCAGTGGCTGGGTTCAAGCCCTTCATAGTTTATAAGCAAATGTCTCTGCTTCTTCTAGATCATTGCAAAAAAAAAAAAGAAGAAGAAGAAGAGAAGAAAAGAAAAAAGAAATAGGTTAAGCAAATTTTGTGGTGGTGCTTATGTGTGCACAGACATGCATGAGGCCTCCGCATCTTCCAAACTTGGAAAGCATATTTTAACAGCACAAATATATCTACATGTTTGATCTACATCAGAGCCTCTTTTTTTCCCTCTTCCTTGCATGCTTTTAAATTATATAGTTTAAATGTTTTAACTATTAAATCTGTTTGGTCTTCAAGCTGTAAACATCACACACAGCTAATAAGCTTTAGGAAAGAAAAGGAAATTGACATTTAGTATAGAGGTTCTACAAAACCAATGAAAACCATGCAAATGAGCTATGGAACAGAGAGATTTGCATATCCTCGTTGATTTCATGATGATATTCTCAGCATGAGCCTGGCAGCCTTGCCTTTTTACCTCTTGGGATGATGCATGTACTGGTGGTAGAGCCCTGCAGGGTCAATTTAACGAGTGTAACATTGTGATTTTCCATGCGGTTTCTCAGAACCACTGAGCAAAATGCAGCAATAACCAGTGACAGAGGAAATCGATTTTTGAAGTAAATACTTTTGGAGGAGGGGAAGAAGGTACATTCCCTTCATATTTAATGTTGCCAAAGTAGGTTGAACAAGTTTTTATATTAGTACCATTTGGTATTTCAAAATAAATAGATTATCCACCATTTCCATCACTCTCTGGATACCCTCACATGTTTACCACCAAAACTCCTGCGCAGAGACTGGTCCTCTTTTGCAAACTGCCTTTGGCTCCCCCGCGATCTCTCATCAGAAAAGCAGGCTAAGGAATCTGCTTTTGCCCCCATCCTGTTAGAATGATAAATAGTAGCCTGATGGCCAAGTTGTATATTTATTTAATACATCGTCTGTATTGATAGTTTATGATGTCCTGGATATGAATACACGAAAGCACAGTTGCATAGTGGCGAAGAAGGATTTTGATATCGTGGAGATCTGGATTTGAACTCAACTCTGGCAGTTCTCCCTGCCTTAGTTTCTTGCCCGTAAATGGGGGTGATGAGGTAGTTGTGAGAATTAAATGAGAGACTATGCAAATTGTTATAATACTCCCTGGAAAATAGTTAAATACCCAATAGATAGCATCACTATTTTGAAATGCTTTCAAAATTATACTCGAGTTTTACTTCTGCAAAATCAAGGCAGCTTTCTTCAGAAAAGAGAGAAATGAACTTCACCCCTAAAATGTACTTGGAGAATTTTAGAGGGTCTTTTCCAAGTTGTTATAAAGCACTTCTGAAGTGAATTTGCCCATTTCTGCCCACACCAATCTTATAACATTCCAGGAATAAAATCTGCACTCGAGTTTAAAAATAAAACGGGTGGAACAAACTGAATTAGAAGTCCTTGGCAGACATCCCCCCCAGCAGAATGTTCTCTCAATTGGTGGTATTGCAATAAAAGAGATGTATATTTTTTAGTCTGCTCTTCCTCCCTGATAATTTCAGCCAGTTGTATTTCTCTATTCTAAAAACCTGGTATGCTTGGATTTAATCTCACCACTCCTATCTACGCTCCTGCTCCTACCCCCACACCCATTTCCCCCAAAAAAACCCCACATCTGCACAGACCCTCCTTCCCAAGAAAACATGGAGGCGGGCTGCTCTCTGATACCGTACATGTGCATTCCGGACTGTGCTGAGGAAGGTCATAGAAACATGAGAGGGCTCTGCTGTTGTCAGTTGTAAAGACTGCCAAGAAAGAACAACAAAAAAATCTCAAATGCATTCACATTTCTCCCGCCTCTTTTTTCTTCTGTAAATATTCAACCCTTTTTAGAGAGGCTTTTGATAATGTGTTATCTCAGCAAACACCACGAACCTTGGATGTACGCAGTACTCCCTAATCCCATAGGAATGACTCAGTCAAGAGAGTTAGATGAAATATGGTTGGCAAGATTGGGTGGGGAATCTTGTTACTACACACACATACACACACACACACACGCGCACACACACACACACACCAGCAGCACCAGCCACTGCACCCCTATCATCGCCATAGACATTATGTAAAAACTAGACATTCTCCTCTCCCTTACACAGTCAGTTGCATCTTTCCCAAAAATGGAAGGGGAAAAAGCTTTCTTTGGCTGAGCCATATGCAAAAAATCATGGAACATCTGTGTAAGTAACAACATACAACAAGACAAATTATTGGTGGTAAAAGGCAAAGCCCTTGTTTCAAAAACATGTCTGGAAATAGTGTGTATACAGAACCTTCCTTTGTGCTAATTACTCATAATAACTGTCAGCTTTGTGTACCACAGGCTGGGCTGTTAATAACTAGTGGTCGCAGTACGGTGTTCTTTTTCTTTCCCTTTCTTTTTTTTTTTTTCCTATCCTTCCTTCCCTCTTTCCTGCCTTCTTTTCATTGTTGTTGCACAAATCATATAGCCTTATTCCAATAGTTGCTGGAAGACCAAATCAGAGATGTGGGGGATTCAGGGACTCGCGACATCTTGGAGTATACTAGTGGATAAATGCCACTTCACCCCTGATGTGGCCGTTTCCCTCCAACACTTGTCTAAGGAGTGCAGGGACTTTGGGGTCCAAGCAATGTATCAGTAAACTTCAGAATTTTTTTCCTAACATTTAACTCTATTCTCAGTCTCAACACCCGCCACAAAAATAATGTCACTCCAGGCAAATTTAGTCGCTTACGGATTCTGAGTCTTATTGTGATTTTGCCTGAGTGGCAAGCTTTTCAGGCACGTGTACTTAAAAATGTGATGTGGTAGAATTTGCCTCCAGCTAGGAATCCACAGACTTGGGTTTGAGCTCCACGTCCCACAGTCACCACGTGATCTTCAGAAAAGAATCACTGAACTGCCTGTGCCTCCATGCCCCCGTTTGTCAAGAGGGAGGTGGTAATACCTGCTGCGGTTTTTATGTGGATCGAATGGGCCTAAAACTCATAGAAACACAGAATGCTTCTATGATAAGAGAAAACTCCAGCCAGGCTCAGTGGCTCACACCTGTAATCTCAGCATTTTGGGAGGCCGAGATGGGTGGATCACCTGAGGCCAGGAGTTTGAGACCAGCCTGGCCAACATGGCAAAACCCTATCTCTACTAAAAATACAAAAATTAGCCAGGCGTGGTGGTGGGCACCTGTAATCCCAGCTACTTGGGAGGCTAAGGCATGAGAATCACTTGAACCTGGGAGGCGGAGGTTGCAGTCAGCTGAGATCGTACCACTGCACTCCAGCCTGGAGGAGACTCTTTCTCAAAAAAAAAAAAAAAAAACGAACAAAAAATACTCTGATGCTATTGCTACTGGTTGTTTTTTTTTTTAATGCTAAAAGGACTCCAAACATCCTGTTATCACCCACTGTCAAATTTCTGCATATATTTTGCAGTGCCAGTGAGAAACTTGGGGTCTCTACAGTCAGTAAGGAAAAAGGAGTTTGAAAGAACTAAGGGATCTCTGTCTATGGGGAAGAAATAGTAGGGCAGAGAATTTAAATTTAGGGTTCTTAGGAAATGATGCACCAGGGCCACCGCACAGCCCTCATGTCTCCTCTCTTCAGTGTCCTCTCTGCCTCCATCACCTAGTGAGGAGGGAACAGGTGCAGGAACAGGTCGCCAGGGTGTCCAGCAGGTGACCTCCCACCCCCCTACCCTCGCCGCCCCCACTGCTCCACTGGCAGCCTATGTCCCAACCAAACCTTACTTCACATTGTAATTCTAATGTTCTGTGCGTGTTCATCGCCATATTTCCCTCCATCTGACCCAGCCCGTCAAAATCCTTCCTCTACTTCAGGGCCCAGCTCCCATCCCCTCTTCCGCAAAGCCTTCTAACCGCAAACCCATTAACCTCTCCCCACTTGGGGCTTCTGAGTCCCTTTATTATTTATGGTTAGGAGAAAGCATCACGTCGGTCTGGTGATGTGTAGTGAGTTGTGTGAATGTGTTAGCAGAGCAGGGTGGCCCTGCATGTGATGGTTGGGTGTTAGCTGGAGTGAGCCAGCCTGGGTTCAAATCTCCCTCTGGCATCAGCTTGTGCTGTAATTGGGGTAAGTGCTGAAACTCTCCCTGTCTCCTTTCCTCATTTGCAAACTTGGCTTAATAATGATAGCTACCTCAAAAAGTTGTTGTGATAATTAAATGAATGTCAAGCTCTTGGAACAGTGCAAGCGCTTAAGAAATATTATGTTGGTGCAAAAGTAATTGTGATTTTGCCATTACTTTCAATGGCAAAAACCACAATTACTTTTGCACCAACCCAGTATTTGCTATTACTAGTCCTGGTCAGCTGAGCATGGTGGCTCATGTCTATAATCTCAACACTTTGGGAGGCCGAGGCAGGTGGATCGCCTGAGGTCAGGAGTTTGAGACCAGCCTGGCCAACATGGTGAAACCCCGTCGCAACTAAAAACACAAAAATGTGCTGGGCATGGTGGTGAGCGCCTGTAATCCCTACTACTCCAGAGGCTGAGGCAGGAGAATCACTTGAACCTGGGAGCCAGAGGTTGCAGTGAGCCGAGATTGCCCCATTGCACTCCAGCCTGGGTGACAAGAGCAAAACTACATCTCAGAAAAAAAAAAAAAAAGGCCTGGTCTACCAGAGACAAGAGGCCATGTCTTGTCCATGAAAGCCTTGCAACCATATTTTACAGATAGAAAAGACCCAGTCCATGAACATTAAAGTCAGTATCAGGTACATTTATCAACATAAAATCTGTTCCTTTGAATCAGCTCAATAATAAAAGAGTGCAGCTGAGCACCCCCTCCCACAGCCCCATGCCTCTAGTCACTGAAAATCTGTGAGGAATTTTTATAGAGTGTTTCAGAACAGAGCATTTCAAGACAACCCTAGAGCCCTATGGAATACATTTTCAATCATCTTTCTGCGTCTGCTTTCTTTTTTGGGTGCACACAGCAGACACTGGTGATGAGGCATGTGCCTGTGTGCACTGTTGTTTTATAGAAGCTGAATGAAAGCCTGGGAGTTGTATCTGCCTGAAAACTTCCATCCTGGCTTCTAGAGCTCAACACCTGAAACGCTGGAGGCAGTTGAGGTCACTTTGAAAACGGAACCCTTGATGTTCTGCTCAAACTTTAGAGGCATTTACAACAAATCAGGCAAATGAAAGTGTGGAAAAATCAGAAACGAGGACCACTCTGTCTTAGGGATTTTGTCATTGTATCGTGTGTGTGTTTATGAATGTGAGTGTGTGTCACATGTGAGTGCATTTAACCTTCATGCAATAAGAGAGTAGTTTTCCACTTAGAACCAGCCAACTCTCTATAAAATTTACCTCCGTGATTCTAATTTTGCTCCCTCCGCCGTGGGCAAGTTGGCAATGTCTGAATGTCTGAAGTCATTTTTGCTTGTCACGACTGGGGAGGAGCTACCAGCATCTAGTGAGTAGAAGTGAGGAATGCTGCTAAACATCCTGCAACACACAGGACAGCCCCCACCACAAAGAATCATCCAGCACAAGATGTCAACAGTGCCAAGGCTGAGAAACCCTGGTTTACCTTAACCTTAAAAGAACAATTCGAATGCTTGGGAAGGGATGTCTGCCACATCTGTACTGGAGAGAAGCATGGCCCCCAGTCAAGGACATGGAGAGTTCCATGTCTGGATCTAGACCGTGTCCATCCACAAAGATGCCTCCTGCTCTTCTCCGACATACAATCTGGTCCATGAGAATAGACTTTATTGGTGAGGGGGCGGGGCTTTAGGTGAGCGGCATTGAAGGGCTTGTTCTGAGCTTGGCCTCTGCTGGCAGATTATTTTCTGGCCACTTTAATCTCGATCCTGCCTCTACTTGGTCTTTTTTTTTTTTTCTTTCCCCCAGTTTTTGGATCTTATAGTTCCACAGGACAAGATACATCTAAGAGATGGGGGAAAAGGTTAAAGCAGCAAGGGGATGCTGGATAGAGGGGGAGGGAAACAAGAAAGGAAAAAACAAGACAGAGAGACAGAGATAGACAGAGATGTACAAATGGGGGCTGCTTGGTTAAAGTGTCCTGGAGTTTTCAGCAAGAGATTTTGCTGCCAGTGTCTCTCCATCCTTCTCTCTGCCTCTCTCTCTCTCTCTCACACACACACACATACAGACACACACACACACACACTCGGCCCCACCACCACACACAGGCCAGGTGGCTCTGCTTACATACATGGCTTGGCGCTTTTACTCCTTGGCTAAGACCATTTCACACATGAACAACACAGCCTCCTCCTAGAGATTTGTCATCCATCTGCTTGCAGAAGAGCTGTCTGTTTCCCTCTGAAAATTGGTCCAATCAACATTTTCCTTTGGCCAGGGTAGCTTACCAGCAGCTCCTCCATAAGGTCCATAATTGCAATTTCTCATTCTCATTTGCCTGGCTGGCTTCACCCTTCTGTCCTCTCTGCACCTTCCCACAAGTGCCCCACCCTCCCCACCAGCCCTCTCCTCCTTTTGTGTTAATAAGCCCTGTCAAAATGAATGACAGAATCAACTTCCTTCTCCCAAAATGGCTCATTACTCATAAATTTCAAGCAATATTGCCTTCTGTCCTCAAAAGGTTTGCAGATTTTTTTCCCCCAACTGATCCCCTTTCCAGAGTGAAATAGCGGATGAATGCCTTGCCTAGCACCCTCTCTAAGCTCTGCCTCTGTGGCAGTATTGTGGGCCAATATGCCAACGAGTCTTTCCTTGTGATCTGCTCCAGCCTGTCTTGTGCCATATGCTTGTGGCAGACAGTGGTTAATATCAGTCTGTGAGCATCTTGAGGCTAGCTTTGAAGTCTAATTCTAATGTCATCATGCTTATAGGGTGCACACTTTGTTTGTTCTGGAACAGAGGGTCATCTGCTACGGGATGTGGAACACTGACCCTGATATTGCAGCCGTGTTTGTGGTTGAGTGAGGGAGCAGGTGATGGGCATAGGAGGGAACCAAGCCCTGAGCCGTGTTTCAGGGATGCTCGGTCCCATCCCCTTTCTCCCAGATGACTTCTTATTCTTAAATTTTGAATAGTGAGTAACACAAGCAGGAGGTGGGATAGCATGAGAACTTAGGAAATCTTCCCATCTCTTTGTTACTTACAAGATAAATGTCTATACTGAAGCTTTAGGGACCCAGATTACAACTGAATTGTTTTATAAATGCGTCTGAAATCTGCTGTTTTGAAGGACAAAGTAATACCTGAAGAATGATTAAGAAGGCTTAGAGAATCCGCAGGCTCCAAGGTGTGTGAATAATACCTTTCCATGGTTCACTACCAGGTGATCTGGACCTACAGCCAGTCTTCTGTGTTTCAGTATATTATGTTGGGAGCATTCCCAGACAGTTAATGCGTAAAATGCTATTCAAATTCTCCTTTACCGAAAGGCATTTTAAAGTAATACACGTGGGTGAGGAATACAAGTGCCTGGTGGGATACTTTTGGTAAACAACGTGGCACAGTGGGATGGAGTAGGGTCTACTTTTTCCCAAATGTGAAGTTAGTAGCTACAGAGGGGTCCTGAGACAGAAAGCATTTGTAAATATTAATTTGTGCTCTGTTTCACAGAATCTGAAATCAGGCATCTGTGCACTTTAAAATATGAAAGAACTAAGAGATCTAGTGTTTGGTAGCATTTTAGAGGGAAAAAAGGCCATAGCTCAAATATTGCTCTGATTTCAGTTGGCTGAATTTATGTGTAAAGGGCATGTTAGGGAATAGTCTGCAAAGGTACCAGAAACTGCCATTCATGGAAGGCCCTGAGTGCAAAATGCAGCAGTCAGTAGTTCTGACCCATGCCATTAGATGGTTCTGGAAGGTCCTCAGAGGAGACGCAACACCAACAGTGACACTGCTTCCAGCTCAGGCAGGCTGGAGCTGTTCTGAGTCTTCCTGAAGGTTCTGAATGGTCCAGCCCTTGGACTCCCTTCAGAGAGTCATGGAGCACCCACATTTCCTTTGCACCTGAAACACTTCTTTGTTTCTGTCTTCACCCTGACTCCTCATCTATTCAGAGATCCCAGCTGATCCTCTCTTTCAAAGCCAGGCCAGTGAGCTCTTACAGAAGCTTACTTCAGCATTCCTTCCACCGTCTTCTGAGTAGCAGGGCAGACAGAGACAGCAATGGAGAATTCCAGTTGATTCCCCATAAAATGGCCACTTTGTTGTGGGGCATGAGCTGGTCTGTACTTGTTTGTGCCTGGCAGTGCACACACTAGAACCCTGGGCAACCCTGGATGTAAATCAACTAGATACTATTATTAAATAGCCGAAGGTTTGCCAGTGCAGCCTGGAGCAAAGAGAGAGGGGTAAAATCAGGCTCCCAACAGACTTCCCCATAGGAAACCTCTCCTCTGCTGTGATTTTCCAGATGAGCTGCGTAAATGGCTCCAAATCACCGAATGTTTGTGCACGCAGGCTCCATTCATGCGCATGCACACACCCGGCTTGTGTCCTTCTTCCCTCTCGTCCCTTGAACCCGTAGCTCTTGATTCTGCCTGTAGGAGCAATGATGTTGTAGCAACCATGACAAAAGAAACAAAATCAGAAGGCAGATCCAGGCCGCTCCCTGCCACCTGCCCTCTGTCTACCTTAGACAGATCACTTAGGCCCACTGGGTCTTGATAAGACATGGTCTTTTCACACCTGTTCTTCCAGTCTTATAGGATTACCTGGAGGATCATGTGATGCGAAGGATGTAAAAGTGCTCCAAGGGGTTAAAAGGACTTTATATAATAAATTCCTACAAACTGCTATAGGCACAGCCATAGCTCTGAAACTAGCATTCTCGTAAGGCTAGTCCAATCCATAAGTTTCGTTTGCTTCAAGCAGCTCAGATAGACACTCTCTGAAGATAAATGATGCATAAAAACACCATTGTTTGTGATCAGAATAATCAGGTACCACTAAATAGTCCTGCATGTGTATGCATGATACCAGCAGCCTCCAACTTGCTTCTCCAGGAGCACTGTACTTAACTTGGAAACCCCTTTATTTAATTTCTGTCCACTCACAAAGCTTCACCTTGTCTTCTCTCCTCTCTGTCCTCCCGAGGTTAATCCTTGAGAGCCTGTAATCAAGGCTAGGCCCTGC